>NT_167244.2:687359-938841 GCF_000001405.40 Homo sapiens | reverse complement strand
GGCCAGGTCCCAGGAACCCATATTTAGAACTGAGGGTCCTATGGCCCAGAACCAGGCATCTGTACTTAAGAACCAAGCACCTGTGACCAGGACCCAGGCACCCATCACTGGAACCCTCTGTCAGGATGCCAGATCCAACTCTCATCCAGTGAAGCCCTCAAGACTCAATGTCTTCTGTTGCCCCCATTGTTCTTTGACTTTTAGCAAGAAATCCTATCTCTCCAGACACCAGAAGGCCCACCTCACAGAGCCGCCCAACTACTGCTTCCATTGCAGCAAGTCTTTCAGCTCATTTTCCAGGCTGGTCAGACACCAGCAGACCCACTGGAAGCAGAAGAGCTACCTTTGCCCTATCTGTGACCTCTCCTTTGGGGAGAAAGAGGGCCTTATGGATCACTGGAGGGGCTATAAAGGCAAGGACCTGTGCCAGAGCAGCCACCATAAATGCCGGGTGATCCTGGGCCAGTGGCTTGGCTTCTCTCATGATGTCCCCACTATGGCTGGGGAGGAATGGAAGCATGGAGGTGATCAATCTCCCCCCAGGATCCATACCCCCAGGAGAAGAGGCCTAAGAGAGAAGGCCTGCAAAGGAGACAAAACAAAGGAGGCAGTGAGCATCTTGAAACATAAATAAATGGCCTTTCTGACTGAGCTCTTTCTTTGTGTTTAGTTTTCCTGAGGACTGACCTCTGGGGTAATGAGGCTGGAGTAGAGGGAGACAGGTGCGTGGATAAGGAAGGAAATACATAAAAGACAAGGGGTTAGAAGTGTGCTTATGAAAACTTGTATTATTATTTTTTATTTATTTATTTATTTATTTATTTATTTATTTATTTATTTATTTATTTTTGAGACAGAGTCTTACTCTGTCACTCCGGCTAGAGTGCAGTGGCGCGATCTCAGCTCACTGCAACCTCTGCCTCCTGGGTTCAAGCGATTCTCCTGCCTCAGCCTCCGGAGTAGCTGGTATTATAGGTGCCCACCACTATGCTCAGTTAATTGTTTGTATTTTTAGTAGAGATGGGGTTTCACCATGTTGGCCAGGCTGGTCTTGAACTCCTGACCTCGTGATTCGCCCGCCTCGGCCTCCCAAAGTGCTGGGATTACAGGCGTGAGCCACCGCACCCGGCCAAAACTCGTATCTTTATTAATTAGCACCTAGCTTGTTTGTTTGTGTCTGACCATCAAGTAGTAGTTGTTGAATAAACAGTGGATACTCTGATAGATATGAAGATAGGAGAAAAGGATGAGAGGAAGGAAAGATTCTGAGACCTGTGGAAGATGTGTAAGTAGAAGGAAAACATTCTAAAGCAGGCATGTTGCCCAGCTTTCGTTTTTGCTTCCCCAGGTCCCTAGTAGGCTGCCAAGACAAGGAGGAGCTCTGGCTAGTATTCTGTAGGTTTCTCCCCATCTCCAGGTTTGGGTTGGGGCTACTCATATCCTCACTCTTCAGCTCACTCAGCTCTCTCTTCAATGTTTTGCACTCTTCCTCTTCCTTCCCTTCACATGCCTTTCAGTTTTGCGCAATCAGGGCTGGAGTCTTGGAAGAAACAACCACCATTTGCAAAGTTACCATACTGTAATTTTCAGTGAGGAGATTCCTGGCCTCCAGTTCATGGCAGAGACCATCCTGTGTTGCTCTCCAGTACAGGTGTCCTCTGATGGAGAGAGGGGCACCTGCCTGTCCTTAGCCAGAGAGGGCTTCCAGGTGGAAGACTGGAGAGAGAAATGGAAAGAAGGGTAATAAAAATGGGAAAATGAAGAGAAAAGGTAGATGACAGAAGAAGGGAAATCAATTCTACTTGGAATTCAGAGTGTTCCTGAAAGTGCAAATTGGAATGTCCCCATAGCAAAGATGCCAGTGAGTGTGCAACTTGATGGATGAGATGTCCCCAAGGACAAATCCCTGGGCAACCAGGCTCTCCTCCACCCCTGCCAAGATGTGACATCACTCAGAAGGGATTTCCTAGAAGAAGGAGAAAATAACTTGAAAAACGTATGTCAGTAGTTTGTATCATAAAACCATTGAACTAGGGAGAAGAAAAGCCCTTGGGGTCATCTTGTCTCCATTCCTGCCTCAATGGTTGATCTGAGAGGTGAGGCACTGGGCAGTTGCTGTGGAATGGGCAATGAGACCAGCTAGGGTTGGATTCCTGCTTAGGGGCAGTGAAGGAGGAATGGATCAGGTGGCAGATAGGAGTGCCTCCAGCTTCTCTGCCACCTGTAAATGTGTCTCTAACAGCTGGCTTCTTTGCCCTCTACCTCCCAGGAGGAGTCTTCCCTCCACCCAGGCTCTCCAGCTCCTCCTTTCCTCTGGGAATGTGATCCCTCAATAGCCCGCCTCTTCCTCTTGTTGCTTCTGTCTCCCTTTCCTGGCTTTTTATTCTCTGCTTATAACAGAGAGAAGAGAACTTACGTAGCTCTTCAAGGAATTGCCCTGAAAACAAAAAGAAACAAATATGTGATTAGTGGAAGATGAATAGCACCTTCCCCACATCCTCCCTATGGACATTTGGAGTGACCCACACTGCCCTTTCCACTGGGGGATCCCACAGATCCAGTAAGTGGTTCTCTTCACAGTTTCTCAGAAGAGCCTGGGGTTGGGCATGGGGACAGAGGAATAAGGAAATCCCAGCTCCCCTAATCTTGAGTCCTGGTTCTATTCTCTTTTGGCTTCCCATTCAGAGCTGACTTGGTCCCCCACTATTTGGTGGTCTTGCCTGCTGCCCAGCCACTGCACCTGCTAGTCTTCGATGTAGCCAGTTGTAGCAGATGATCAAGGCAACCAAGGGTCCAAGAACCGGCACAATTACAAACAGGGTTATCTTCCAGCAGGGCACCCTCAGAAAGTGGGGATCTGAATTGTTCACCAGAACAAACAGGGTTAACATGTGTTCCCCCTCATGCCCCACCCACCTGTCTTTTTTGGTTCCTTAACCTGGGGTCCTAGAACACCAAAGGACTCTGGGGACAAAATTCAGAAAGTCCATGAACTTGGATGAGAAAAGTACTGCCTCCTTATTTTCAATAACTGGATTTAACATTTTCTTTCATTAAAAATGTAACAACTGCCAGGTGTGGTGGCTCATGCCTGTAATCCCAACACTCTGGGAGTCCGAGACGGGTGGATCATGAGGCCAAGAGTTCAAGACCAGCCAGGCCAACATGGTGAAACCCCATCTCTACTAAAAATGTAAAAATTAGCTGGGCGTGGTGGCACATGCCTGTAATGCCAGCTACTCAGGAGGCTGAGGCAGGAGAATCGCTTGAACCTGGGAGGCGGAGGTTGCAGTGAGCCAAGATCCTGCCCCTGCACTCCAGCCTGGGCCACAGAGCAAGACTCTTGTTGATCCCACCAACACCCATTCCCCCAAGTCTTGGAAAAAACAAAACAAACCAAAACATTTTACAACTAACCACAATATGAGCAGTACCTGTGACTTAATTACCAATGGAAGCCACAGATGTTTTCATTCCCATTAGAGTTATTGCAGAAATCTTGAAATACTGTTTATGTTTATTAGTATGTTGAAATTAAAGGTTATTGGGCTGGGCCTGGTGGCTCATGCCTGTAATCCCAGCACTTTGGAAGGCCAAGGCAGGCAGATCACCTGAGGTCAGGGGTTCAAGACCAGCCTGGCCAACATGGTGAAACCCCGTCTCTACTAAAAATACAAAAATTAGCTGGGCATGGTGGCATGCGCCTGTAGTTCCAGCAACTTGGGAGGCTGAGGCAGGAGAATCGCTTGAACCCAGGAGGTGGAGGTTGCAGTGAGCCGAGATTGTGCCATTGCACTCCATCTCAAAAAAACTTCATCTCAAAAAAAAAGAAAGAAAGAAAGAAAGAAAGAAATTACAGGTTATTAGACTTGCTGCTACATTACTTAATGTATTACTTTGGCTAAAGAAATATTTATGGCCGGGCACGGTGGCTCATGCCCGTAATCCCAGCACTTTGGGAGGCCAAGGCAGGTGGATCACCTGAGGTCAGGAGTTCGAGGCCAGCCTGGCCAACCTGGTGAAACCTAGTCTCTACTAAAAATACAAAAATTAGCTGGGTGTGGTGGCGGGCACCTGTAATCCCAGCTACTCAGGAGGCTGAGAATCGCTTGAACCCGGGAGGCAGAGGTTTCAGTGAGCCTAGATCGCGCCATTGCACTCCAGCCTGGGTGACAAGAGCAAAACTCTGCCTCAAAAAAAAAAAAAAAGAAACATTTATGTTACTATATCACAAATGTGATTATCGGTTGATAACTGTATTTTAGTACAATGATTGTTTTTGCAATCCTATGTGTTCTATTTTATGTGTATATTTAAAAACATTCTGCAAAGGGGTCCTTTAGACTTCACTGGAGTGCCAGAGAGATTCATGGTACAAAAAGGAGTTAAGACCTTTCATAGTCAAGTCCTCCAAAACAAAGATACTATTCCTCCTCTTTGGGTGTGTAAAGATGTGTGTGTGTGTGGTCCACACACTGGTCTAATTTCCTAAATCGTACGATAGAACTCTGTGTGCCAGGTGACAAGAGTAGAGTCACCTACAGCCTCGGGAGGAGGAGCTGTGAAGGAAGTTTGCTCAGAGAAGGTACCATCTGTGCCCTAATGACACCTTCTAGTGTCTGCAACATTTATCTAACAAATATTTGGGTGCTCTTCTGTTGCCATTATCTTTAGGCATTGGGCAATCTGCAGTGAACAAAAAGGCTAGAAACCATGTCCTTGAGGGGTCAATTCCTAGTGGGGCTTGGTGGCTTTTCTATTCCTCTATGAGGTCTTCTCTGATTAGTCATGTTCTGTACTCATGGAAACATCCTGAGTTTGTAAAGCAGAAATATAAGTACAGGTGATACAGTTGTGTCTTGTTTCTGTTTGTTTCACCTCCCCAACCAGACATCAGGTTTACGTGTAAACGATCTATTTACCTCTGTTTTGCCATTCCTGAAAAGAGAGATCATGTGCATAAGGAGTTAAACAGAATAAGATAACGTTTTTGTAAAGTAGTTAGAATAGTGCCTGGCACATAAAAACAGTACATGAGTATTTTTATTATGATTTTACCAATCCTAAATGCAAATGACTTCTTATTTAAAGAAAGAAAAGAGAAGAGAGGAAGGGACTCAACCAGGAGCCAGGGGTCCTTGTTCCCCCAGGTGACTGGAACTAGAGTGAAATACCAAGTTGACCTGGGAGGGCCTAGACATGCCGGAACTTACCAAAAGTCCGGTGGAGATTCTCTGAAAGAGAAACAAATGGAAATGGATTTAGTAGGGCACTCAAAAAGGATCTTTTATCCTGAGTCTTTGTTATTTAATTACTTAAAACTTGTTCTAGGCACGACACACCCACTGTAGAGAAAGGGAAACTGAGGGGAAAACAGGGTATTGAGAGGGAGAGACGGTCCAAGAACGGGACCATTTCCGTTATGCCAAAAAACCAAAAGGCAAGAATTGGGAGAAACGATGACTGGAACTCACCTATCTCTGCTCGAAGTTTTCCTAAAATAGAAAAAGGCAACATTTTAGTTCCTGCATGTTCTGGCTCTCGGTGGGGACCCTCCCACACCCAGCGCCTGGGCCCCTTGTGCAGGCTATTTCTCTGCAGCCTGGAAACAACCTCAGGAGAGTAGGAAGAGCACTGGATTTAAAGCCAATGGTTGCGGCTCTTTCTCTAGCTATAGTCTAGATACAATAGCGAATAAAGAATGTGAGCAATGCTCCAAGCCAGCACAAGCATCCAATACATCCCAGCTGCTCTTCGCCCCTTTTCTTGGATTCTCAGTTCACAGAGCTGCTCCAGCCCACTGCGTTGCCACTTTGTTTATCTAAAGCCACTTCCCATCTGAATGAGGAGGGAGGAGCTGAACATTTAGTGAGTAGCTAGCTACTTTGTGACTGGATTTGTAGTAGGCACTTTGCATGACTTTAATCCTCCCTACAATTTAGGACGAAGGATGTTTTCTCTATTTGACAGACAAGGCAACTGAAGCTTGGAGAATCTAAGAATTTTGCTATAGAGTTCAGTACCTGAGATGGAATTCAAACCCAGGCTGCCTGACTCTAACATTCAGATTCTTTCTGCTCAGCCATGAGGGCTGAAGGCCTTTTTTTGTGTGGAAGAAGTAAACAAGCAGGCATCTGGGATGAATTCAAGGTGAGAGAAAGGACTTTGTTGTTGATCGCACCAACACCCATTCCCCCAGAACATTCCCCATACCCTCCTTGCTACTTTCTCCTCTCCTCTTAGTAACAAATGGGAGGTGGGGCATGGGGAGGAGTGAAGACTCTTCCTGCTCTGGCATTGGGGAGACACTTGGTAGGAGGAGAAGGCTCAGAATGAAAGCTCTAGGCAAAAAAGAGGAGCTTCATCAGCAGCTGAACCTGAGTCCTCAGTGTTGAATGGAGAAAGAGGAAACAATTTTCGAACGCCTACTGTGTGGTAGAGACTTTCACTTCAGTATCTTTATTCAAAACTCCTAATAGCCTAGACCTGTCTGACTTCGAAGCTCACACTCTCCCAAGTTGCATGGAGCTGCTAGGTATGATACAGAGGCCTCAGCTCTACCACTTATAAGTTATATCGGTTTGAGTAAGTCACTGAACTACTCCTGGCCTCAGTTGTATCCTCTGTAAAATGGGGTTACTATATGGCATAGTTAGCTCATAGGGAAATGCTAGGTCCGATTATTCATATGAAAGCATTCCGTAAGATGTAAAACTCTTTCATCATGGAGTTATTTTTTTTCTTTATCACTCAATAGTGAGAAGAACTTCTGAACCCAGAAGTCACTCACAAATACATGTTAAGTGGTGTAGCTCCAAGAAGCCAGCTCATTTAAAGAAAGGATCCTGATCCACCCACCCTCTGCCCTGTACCTCTCAGTCTGTACTGCAGGCAGAGGAAGACGAGGCCAACAGTGATCTGCAGGAGGAGCACAGGCAGCACCGCGAGGAGAACCAGCACTCCAGGGCTCACCCAGTAGAAAGGATCTGAAAGGCAGGACTGACATTTGACATTGTCCAGAGCTGAATCCCCAACACTCAGCATGGTGTCTGGGGCCCAATAAATCAGGTCAAATAAAGAAGTGAATATCATCAGGATTCAAAGAAGGTGACACAGAATTGGTCCCTGAGCTTAGCCCTGAAGGAAAAATGGCTTTTTTTTCCAGGAAATGCTAGTGATTTAGAATGACAAGTGGTTTAAAGTCAAGATTGTGTATTGGGTCAGGCTGGGGGAGTTTTAACGAGCAGCTAAGGGACTTACATCTGAAGTCCCTCAAGGGACTTTTTATTGACGACAAAGTCAAAGGTTCTCTTCATATTATTGTGGTGTATCGCCTACAAGCATAATTAAAATAAACACTAAATTTCAGTTTAAAGTTTACTGAAAATAAATATGTATTTCAAATATGTAGTTCAAGGCTGTGGTGGTGCACTGAAGGATTCCAAGCTGAGAAGTGACCACGTCAGATTTAGCACCTACAGGACTGGAGAACATAGGGAGAAATGTTAAGAGACTGTGATAACAATTAAAGTAAAAAACAACATGAACCTGAACTAGGACAGTGGTAATGGTATAGGAAGTCAGGGGATTCAAAGCTTAAATAGGGAATAAAAAATACATATTTATTTTCAGTAAACTTTAAACTGAAATTTAGTGTTTATTTTAATTATGCTTGTAGGCGATACACCACAATAATATGAAGAGAACCTTTGACTTTGTCGTCAATAAAAATCACAAATATTGGCCAGGTGCGGTGGCTCACACCTGTAATCCCAGCACTTTGGGAGGCCGAGGCGGGCGGATCGCCTGAGGTTGGGAGTTCAAGACCAGCCTGACCAACATGGAGAAACCCTGTTTCTACTAAAAATACAAAATTAGCTGGACGTGGTGGCACATTCCTGTAATCCCAGCTACTCAAGAGGCTGAGGCAGGAGAATCGCTTGAACCCAGGAGGCGGAGGTTGAGGTGAGCCGAGATCTTGCCATTGCACTCCAGCCTGGGCAACAAGAGCGAAACTCCATCTCAAAAAAAAAAAAGAAAAAGAAAAATCACAAATATTTTCACGTCACATTAGAAAAGTCACAGAAATCTCAAACTATCACTTATGTTCATTACTATTTTGAAATTACACTAATTAATAGGGTCACCCTAACTCTTGTTAATTTAATATTTTGATAACTGTATTTTGGTATAAATGTTTTATTTGGTGTATTTAAAACATTCTTCTGGCTAGGTGTGGTGGCTCTCCCCTGTAATCCCACCACTTTGGGAGGCCAAGGCAGGAAGATTGCTTGAGCCCAGGAGTTCTCGAGGCCAGACTGGGCAACATAATGTGAGACCCTGCCTCTACGAAAAAAAATTAAAAATTACCTGGGCATGGTGACACAAGCCTGTGGTCTCAGCTATTCAAGAGGCTGAGTCAGGAGGATCACTTGAGCCTGGGAGGTGGAGGCTGCAATGAGCCATGATCGTGCCACTGCAACCAATCCTGGGTGACAGAGTGAGACACTGTCTCAAAAAAAAAAAAAAAATTCTGAGATGGGTCTATCAACTTCATCAGCTTGCGGAAGGTGCATGACACACAACAAAAGGTTAAGAGCCCTCTTCTAGAGCTTTTAAGAAGGTAGTTTACAGCGGGCATGGTGGCTCACACCTGTAATCCCAGCATTTTGGGAGGCCAAGGTGGGTGGATCACTTGAGGTCAGGAGTTCGAGACTGGCTTGGCCAACATGGTGAAACCCTCTCTCTACTGATAATACAAAAATTAGCCAGACATGGTGGTGCAGCCTGTAATCCCAGCTACTTGGAAGGCTGAGGGAGGAGAATTGCATGAACCTGGGAGTTGGAGGGTGCAGTGAGCCGAGATTGCACCATTGCACTCCAGCCTGGGTAACAAGAGCAAAACTCCATCTCAAAAAAAAAAAAAATAAATAAATAAAAGAAAAAAGAAAAAGAAGGTAGCTTACACAGGATTCAGTAACTGAACAGATGTGCAGACCTGGAGATGTGGAGTAGGTTGAGCAATGAGGGAGGGGGACCTTCACTTCTGTGGCTCCCATCTATTTCCCATTCTAGGTCTGCTCCTCAGCATCCAAAAGCCCCACTCTAATCTCCATGTGCCATGCTGCAGCTGAAGCCCTTTTCATCTTGATCTCTGCTTTAAGGGAGCTAAGTAAGGATAATGACATCAAAGGTAGGGATACATCACAGCTAATAACATTAAACTGGTCCAGGAGGGTTGCTTAGGTATAATTACAATCCTTCAAGCTGTAGACTAAGGCTCCTGTCTATCATTGTGTTCCCTAGGGGAAAATGCAGCTACCTTTACTTTCAAGTTCTTAATGGAAGTTACCTGTAGCAATGTGATTTAGCGAGTATGTACTTAAGGGTTTTTTTCTCCCAACCCCCCACATTTTTCCTTTCACAAATAATTAGAAAAGAGAGAAAAGCAGACATTATCAGCCTCCGGATGTAAAGCAACAAGAAGTATAGAGTATCACTGATGAACTATATTTGCCAAAGTAAATCAAACACAAATGTCATTGCACCTCCACATCTATCAGTTTACAGAAAAACACAGGGCATGGAGGACCGTATTACATAGCAACATGGGAATGTCGTCAACAAAATTCAGACCCTGGGAAACCCTAAGGGCAAAGGTCAACAGGTGGGTCTCATTTGAATCTCGCTAAAAGAAACCAACTGTAAGAGTATATTTATGAAACAATCAGGAAAATTTGAACACAAACTGGGTATTTGATGATATTAAGAAATTTTTGTTGAGTTTGTAAGATGTGATAATAGTATTGTGGTTATTTATTTATTTATATTATTGTGTGTGGGGAGGGGGGGCTTTTTTTTTTTTTTTTTTTGAGTCTCACTCTGTTGCCCCAGGCTGGAGTGCAGTGGCATGATCTCAGCTCACTGCAAGCTCCGCCTCCCGGGTTCACTCCATTCTCCTGCCTCAGCTCCCAAGTAGCTGGGACTACAGGCGCCTGCCACCACGCCAGGCTAATTTTGTTTTTGTATTTGTAGTAGAAATGGGGTTTCACCATGTTAGCTAGGATGGTCTCAATCTCTTGACCTCATGATTCGCCCTCCTTGGGCTCCCAAAGTACTGGGATTACAGGTGTGAGCCACCGCGCCCGGCCTATTTATTTTTTAAAAAGTGTTCTTCGCTGGGTGCAGTGGCTCGCGCCTGTAATTCTAGCACTTTGGGAGGCCGAGGTGGGAGGATTGCTTGAGCCTAGGAGTTTGAGACCAGCCTGATCAACATGGTAAAACCCAGTCTCTACAAAAAATACAAAACATTAGCAGTGTGTGGTGGTGTGTGCCTGTGGTCCCAGCTACTATGTAGGCTGAGGTGGGAGGATGGCTTCTGCCCGGGAGGCAGAGGCTGCAGTGAGCAGAGATATGCCACTACACTCCAGCCTGGGTGACAGAGACAGATCCTGTCTCAAAATAAATAAAAAGAAAAAAAAGAAATGATCATGCTGCCTAGGATTTACCTCAGTAATTGAGTAGGGGAGGGTGGTAATGAGTGGGGAGCCGGTGAGGTGGGTGGTCCCTGGATTGACAAGTGCTGCAGCAAGGTGGTAGGCACTTGGAGGCTCATTATAATATTATCTCTGGTTTGTATGTGGTTTTTTTTTTTTGAGACAGAGTTTTGCTCTTGTTGCCCAGGCTGGAGTGCAATGGCGCGATCTTGGCTCACCGCAACCTCTGCCTCCCGGTTCAAGCGATTCTCCTGCCTCAGTCTCTCAAGTAGCTGGGATTACTGGCATGTGCCACCACGCCTAGCTAATTTTGTATTTTTTAGTAGAGACGGGGTTTCTCCATGTTGATCAGGCTGGTCTCGAACTCCTGACCTCGGGTGATCTGCCCGCTTCGGCCTCCCAAAGTGCTGGGATTACAGGCGTGAGCTGCCGCGCCTGGCATTTGTTTTTATGTTTCATAATGAAGAATTTAAAGAAAGGATTAGAGACAACTAGTAATAAAATCACAAAAATGACAAGAAAAAAATAAGTAAACAAGAGAAATTAGAAACTCTTCAGAGAAAGAGCAGAGGTAGTTACACCTGAGACTTGCAATAATACCATTACTTCATCTCATTCCTAAATTTGTCTCAACTTCCTGGCTCCAAAGCCTAGACAAAGCGTCCCTTATTTACTTGTAAAACAGTTTCTTAGGCATGCAGACGAAGAGGTGGGAACAGGAGGTTGGAATGTGGATAGCAACCCAAAAGAGAACTTTCTCCCCTGAGGCAAAGTCTTTAGCTGCTTTTCTTTTTGTCTTCCTTGTTTTTTTTTTTTTTTTTTTTGAGATGGAGTTCCACTTTTCTTGCCCAGACTGGAGTGTAATGGCACGATCTTGGCTCACTGCAACCTCCGCCTCCGGGGTTCAAGCGATTCTCCTGCCTCAGCCTCCCAGCTGGGATTACAGGAATGCGCCACCACGCCAGGCTAATTTTGTGTTTTTAGTAGAGACAGGGTTTCTCCATGTTGGTCAGGCTAGTCTCGAACTCCCGACCTCAGGTGATCCACCCGCCTCGGCCTCCCAAAGTTTTGGGGTTATAGGTGTGAGCCACCGCAACCGGCTTGTCTTCCTTTTTTGGTGTGGTGAAACTGAGGGAGTTTGTTGGGAGAGGCAGTTACTGAGCTAGGAAGTTGTTGAGCAGGAAGGAGAAAAATCTGCAAACTGGAGAGGGTCTCACTATCAAACTTTTCGGCAAGTAGAATTTCCCCAATAAAAACAGCTGTATGAAGAACATTCTGAGACACATAAAGCTATTTCCATATCCCTGCAGGCAGTCTCTAGAAATAGTGCTTTGTTGTTCCACATACAATGCCATCTTCTGGTCCCAGCACTGCAATGGTCACTCCCACCTCCAAGATACAATAGTGATCAATTGTCTGATGTTTGCACTGCAGGTGGGGAGGAGGAAAAGGCAGAGGATCTGACCCCCAGGCTCTCAAAGCAGTTTAGTTCCTCAATTAAATAGCAAGTAACTTTCAAAGCTCCCCCTCCATCGGCTTCACCTTGTCCACATCTTAATCATCCTGCGATAGAGCAAAAAATATTCTCCAAAATCACCCATCATGCAAAACATGTTGAAAATGAAATTCTGAGGCCGGGCACCATGGCTCATGCCTGTAATCCCAGCACTTTGGGAGGCTGAGGCGAGTGGATCACCTGAGGTCAGGAGTTTGAGACCAACCTTGACAACCTGGTGAAACCCTGTCTCTACTAAAAATACAAAAATTAGCTGGGTGTGGTGGTGGGCACCTGTAATCCCAGCTACTCGGGAGGCTGAGGCAGGAGAATCACTTGAACCCAGGAGGCGGAGGGCGCCATTGCACTCCAGCCTGGGTGACAGAGCGAGACTCTGTGTCAAAAAAAAAAAGAAAAGAAAGAAAGGAAAAAAAAAAGAAATTCTGCAATTCTGCAGAATGAAATAGTGGAGGTACAGCCAAAAGGTGACATCTCCTTTCTATAATTATATTTAGACATTTGATTTACTTGCTTATTCACTAGGACCAAGCACAGGTGTGTGTGTGTGTGTGTGTGTGCGCGCTCACAAATACAGGGTTTTTTTTTTTTTTTTGAGACGGAGTCTCGCTGTGTCCCCCATGCTGGAGTGCAGTGGAAGGATTTTGGCTCACTGCAACCTCCGCTTCCGGGTTCACGCCATTCTCCTGCCTCAGCCTCCCGAGTAGCTGGGACTACAGGCGCCTGCTACCATGCCTGGCTAATTTTTTTTTTTTTTTTTGTATTTTTAGTAGAGACGGGGTTTCACCGTTTTAGCCAGGATGGTCTCAATCTCCTGACCTTGTGATCTGCCCACCTCGGCCTCCCACAGTGCTGGGATTACAGGTGTGAGCCACGGCGCTGGGCCCAAGGGTTTTTTTGTTTTTGTTTTTGTTTTTTTTAGAGACGGGTAGGGAGTGGGGGTGAAGGTCTTTGCTCTGTCACCCGGGTTGGAGTGCAGTGGTGCAATCATAGCTCACTGTAACTGCAAACCCCTGGGCTCAAGCCAGCCTCCCGTCTCAGCCTCCTGAGTAGCTGCGAGGCAAACCACCATGCCCTAGGGTTTTGTTTTTGTTTTTGTATCCTACAGCAGCTTGCTCTTATCACTCAATAATACCTTATAGAAGGCCTCCAAACCATCTGGCCTAGTGCTAAAATAATCTTTTTAATGCCTGCATAATATTCACAGTATGGCTACCATTGTTCATTCTGTCACTTACCTACTCAAAGGCATTGATTTTGATCCCAATTTCCTTGCTACTCTGAATAATGATGCAACAGACATCCCTAAGCATGAGTTTCTGTTTATTGATGTGTACATTTTTATGGAAATCATTCCCAGGACTGAGATGTTTGGGTTGAGGGATCTCATCTCAGTTGAGAGAATAATTGTTCTTGGCCACCCAACAGTTAATACCTAATATTATATGGCACTACTCACCTTCTACTTTCAATTCCATTGCTGCCTCCTCTTGGTAAGAATGATCTCGGAAGAAGCAGGTGAAACCTCCTTCATCTGAGAACCTTACATTCCGGATCCTGAGAGTCACCTTTCCCTCACCAATAGCATCTTTCAGCAGCTCTGTCCGGCCCCGATATTCAGGTGCCTGGTCTCCATCTTGGTCCTTGCCATTTCTGTAGAGATGAACCACCCTAGAGAAGGGGGGGCGGTACCACCCCACCTCCATGCCTGTAGCGTTCTTCCCAGGAGATATGCGACATGGCAATTCCACTTCATCCCCGACCAGAGCCCGGATAGGGTGTCTTGGTCCTATCACTCTGAACTGCCCTGTCCAAGACACCAAAAGGAAGAGATTTAAGGTCAGAGGGAACCTTGGCAAGCAAGCCTGTCATGAGAAGGGCTGCTTCAAAACAGGGAAGGAAGAAGACACTCGACTTTTAAATGACATTCTAGAGCCAGGGAGGATTGCAATTGTTCTTCTTCTTCTTCTTCCTTTTTATTTATTCATTTATTTTTTGAGACAGTCTTACTCTCTGTCGCCCAGGCTGGAGTGCAGTGGTGCAATCTTGGCTCACTGCAACCTCCGCCTCCCTGCAACCTCCGCCTCCCAGGTTCAAGTGATTCTCCTGCCTCAGCCTCCCGAGTAGCTGGCATTACAGGCACCTACCGCCGCATCCAGCTAATTTTTGTATTTTTAGTAAAGATGAGGTTTCACACTGTTGGCCAGGCTGGTCTCGAACTCCTGACCTCAGGTGATCCGCCTGCCTTGGCCCCAAAGCGCTGGGATTATGGGCATAAACCACCACACCCGGCCTCAAGTTTCCTTCTTGAGAACAACAACGACAAAAAAGACTCTGGTTATAGAGATACTGTGAATGTCCTGGACAGAACATTTTAGCAATCATCTCCTCTCAGCATCTGCCCATCTTTTTGCCAGCTGTAGCCATCTCTGACTCTTCAGCCCAGCCTTTAGGTTCCCTCTTGGAATGTGGCACAGCATCTTGAGGTTGAATCCTCCTATGGGCCTCCCTGTTAGGACTTGGCCAAATTGCTGCCTATTCTACCCTTAGAGGTTTTGCTTTTGTCACTCCATCTACTTTAACTGTCTCTCCATCACTTCTCACTATTCAGTCCTTGTTCATACCTTGTTTCCCAAATTCTCTTCTGAGATCTTCCACCCTGGGGATGGCTCTATTTCCCTCTTCCTTCCCCTGTATCTTCCACCTCACTGTGGCTCCCGGACCCTGACCCGAAAAAGTTCCTTGTTTTTTTCTATGTGGATGTGTTTCTCAAGTCAGATTCTGAGCTACTAAGAAATAAGGCTGCTTTCTCCCCTAGACCTGGAGAGTGGATGCACTGTGCCTCTGTCAGTCAGGTGGCTCCCTGAGGATGGGAAACTTTCTGTTTATTTCTCCTCTGCACGTGACAGCCGGGTTCCTTTATAAAAACCTACTGGTGCCTGATTATGCAGAGCAAAGTCTCAAACATGACAAGATATTATAATTCCACAAACATTTATTGAGATTTACTATGGACAGGCACTGCTAAGCATGTTACATATCTCATTTCATGTAATCCTGATGAGAACTCCAAGAGGTTGTTATTATTTTATCTCAATTTGAGAGGTGAAAAGACAAAGCTGGAAAGACAAGTAAGAAGTAGTTCAAGGAAAGCCTTGAGTTAGTCACATTAAGGAGTCTGGGTCAGACGCAATGGCTCATGCCTGTAATCTCAGCACTTTGGGAGGCTGAGGAGGGCAGACCACTTGAGGTCAGGGGTTCCAGACCAGCCTGGCCAACATGGTGAAACCCCATCTCTACTAAAAATAAAAAAATTAGGCCTAGTGCAGTGGCTCACGCCCATAATCCCAGTACTTTGGGAAGCTGAGGCGGGCGGATCAGCAGGTCAAGAGATCGAGACCATCCTGGCCAACATGTGAAACCCCGTCTGTACTAAAATACAAAAAAAAAAAAAAAAAAAGAAAAGAAAAAATTTAGCTGGGTGTGGTGGCAGGCGCCTGTAGTCTCCGCTACTTGGGAGGCCAAGTCAGGAGAATCGCTTGAACCAGGGAGGCTGAGGTTGCAGTGAGCCGAGATCATGCCACTGCACTCCAGCCTGAGCAACAGAGGGAGACTCTGTCTCAAAAAAAAAAAAGAGTCTGGACTCCATCTTGAAGGCTGTAAGAACCACCCACGGAAGGTTTCTGAGGAAGGGAGGCATGTCAGTAGGTCTATGTTTTAGAAAGATAATATAGCAACTTGAGGATGTTTGAAGGAGCTAAGCCCCAGGAAACTAGCCTTTCTGTTTTCAGGGTCTCCCCAGGGCAGGAAAAAAAACATGTCTTACCTGCATAGCTGGAAGACACTTGGAGGAGGAGGAGGAGGAGGAAGGAGCAGAGGCAGCTGGGCAGAGAGGGTCTCGATAAGCTTGCCATCTCTACTGTTCCTGGGGACAGAGAGCCCCCGCAGCAAGGTCAGGCCAAGTGGAGGCCCTTGGGGTGCATGTCCCCTTACTGCTGAAAAGCCCAAGGGAAGATCTTGGAGGGCAGTGCTGCCTGGGCCCTGCCTCCACTCCGGTAATTGCTGCAGCTGTGCCCGCAGAAACAGCCCCACGTCACCCTTGCCAGGCACTCACACAAAAGGGCTACAGACTGAGGGGATGACCAGGGTTTGCCTTCCCCACCCCCCCAGAGCAATGGAGCAGAGGCTGCCTGGTACAGGGCTTTCCTCCCCCACTCCCTCCTGGAGATCCAACCTTTGAAGGGTCTTCTAGGGGCTAATCAGTGGGGCAGGATCACTTACAGGACCTTAGGAAGAGGCTTGTTCATGGAATATGTAAGCTTCCTCCAATCCACCCCAGCCCTACTGACTAGTCAAAAGAGAGAAATTATTATTGGTTCTTAAAAAAAGAAAGAAAACTTAGATTTCTTTTTCCTGTTTCTATTATCTCACAACTGTCATCACCAGACCATTCTTCTTAATGTCTAACCTCCCTTTCTTCTACCGCGAATCCAAACTCTGCCCTGTATGTTTGTATATGTGATAGGTCACTTGGGATTTGTTAGTTTCTTGTTCCCAAAGAATGTTTTTAGGGAAGTCATGAGATGAATGTCAGGTGTGCTCAGAGAGGCAAGGTTGGAGGAAGGGAGACCAGCAAGGGCAGCAACTAACTATGTCAGTCAACACAGGCAGAAGGGACAGAGCCAGCATACAGGACACGCTCTCCAGCCTTCACATCACTTGCCAGTTTCCTCAGTGTCACAGGGGAGAGTGAGATCTGGAATGGAAAATGACCTTTCTCTCACCTCTTGGCTCAGCTGAGAATTGCAAGTGTGAGACCAGCATTGGTAGCAGGTTCCAAAAATAGACTTCCCAATCTTAAGGCAAGTATGCCTCACCAAATAAGGAAAAAAGGCTCAATTTAGAGCCGTGCTGTCCAATGCAGCAGTCACTCCCTGCATGTGGCCACTTAAAATTAATTACAATTAAATAAAATTAAAAATTTGGTTCATTGATTACACTAGCCATGTTTCAAATGCTCAATAGCACTACAGTTAGTGGTTATCTCATCAGACAACACAAATACAGAACATTTCCATCGTCACAAAAAATTATATTGGGCAACACAAAAATTTATATTGGGCAGCAAGGGGTAGAAACACAACTGAGACATACATTTCTGTTTTTGTCCGAGATGGGCGTAAGGAGCTAGAAGGACATTAAGGTCAGCTGAGTTTGGGAACTGCTTATTCTTTCACCCTTCAAGGCAGCCAGCGTTTGGACACAAGCAATGTTTGGCTACTCTGGTGCTGTGTGGTTGAAAGTCAAGATTGCAGGGGTCAATCCCATGGAAAAAGTGGCCGCTGTGGATCTCTGGCTTTTTACCAAAGGGGTTTTTTTTTCTTCAAAAACCTAAAATGTCCTGGGACGCTCTTTCTCCCTGTTGCATATTCAGGTAGGAGAGTTATGCACAAGATGCTTCTGGGCAGGATTTGGGGGTGGTAAGATGTGTGCAATTGTCCAGCACCAAGCAAGCTGTCAAAAGCTGGATGGGAGATCAGGATGAGGGTGGAGGCATGTGGGAGCAGAGAGGGTCAGGAGCCTGCCGAGCCATCACAGCCACTTTGGAGAAATCACAGCATCTCTGAAAACAACAATAAAAAAAACTAACCACCTTACTGAGATATTCTATGTGCTGTGGTTCTAAGTGGTTTACTTGCATTAACACCTTTAATCCTCACAACAACAAAACAAATATTAAACTATTATCACCCATATCTTACAGGTGAGAAAAGGGAGGTACAAAAGAGGTAAAGGAACTTGCTAAAGTCACACCACTAGGGAGTGGCAGAGCTGGGATTTCAAGCCAGGCTTTCTAGTCCTAGAACTGGCTCTTTTAACCACCACAATACAAGGCCTCTGATGAGCTCAGCTTATTTACTTTCATGCCCTCAACTGCCTCAAATTTCCTGAAAGGGGAGGATTCCTGGAGCTGTGAGAGCAGTCCCTTGGCTGACATGGTCTTTGGGCAAAGGTGATATATACAAGGGAAGGCCAGAGGGGCCACCAGCAAAATGAAGCCAGTGGTGTTGCCACTTGCAGAAATCTGGGGTATAGGGGCTGGGCCCGCTCACGCCTGTAATCCCAGCACTTTGGGAGGCCGAAGCGGGCAGATTACCTGAGGTTGGGAGTTCAAGACCAGCCTGACCAACATGGAGAAACCCTGCCTCTACTAAAAATACAAAAATTAGCTGGGCATGGTGGCGTGTGCCTGTAATCCCAGCTACTCGGGAGGCTGAGGCAGGGTAATCCCTTGAACCCAGGAGGCGGAGATTGCGGTGAGCCAAGATCCCGCCATTGCACTCCAGCCTGGGCAAGAAGAGCAAAACTCCGTCTCAAAATAAAATAAAGAAATCTGGGGTATGGGAACATCAGGTATTGCCAGGAATAGAGCTCAGTGTAGATGTGTCCAAGAAGTGAAACCACCCTGTATCACCCTGGGAGCTGCTCATTTCTTTCAGCATTTAAATATTATTTTAATTGATTTTGTATAGCATATGTTATGAGATCCTGCAAGTATTCCTGAGTTCTTGAGTTGCCTCTTTTTTTCTTTCTTTCTCGTTTTTGAGACAGGGTCTCTCTCTGTCACAGGCTGGAGAGCAGTGGCGTGATCAGGGCTCACTGCAGCCTTTACCTCTCAACTTTAAGTGAACCTTATGCCTCAACCTCCTGAGTAGCTGAAACTACAGGTATGTGCCAGCATGCCTGGCTAAATGAAAGCTTCTTTTCTTTTCTTTCCCTTGGTCTCAAACTCCTGGACTCAAGTGATCCTCCTGCCTCAGCCTTCTGAAATGTTGGAATTACAGGCTGAGCCACTACACCCAGCTCAATTTTCTTCCAGTGTTGCTGTCCTCAGTAATTTCAGCTTAATCTGCATCTCTCACCATGTCCAATGACAGACCATGTACACAGTAATATATTCAGAGTGACACATTGAATACAGTAAATGTGTGTGGTAATTTTTTAACATGCTCTATGCTGTCCATATGTGAAATAGTAAGCATTCAATAAATGGTAGCTTTCCTACATAAATACCCAGCAACAGTACTGTATAAGCTTTTACAGATAATCTGTAAAATATGTATCTTTACATTATTTATGTTATCAGAAGTGATAATAGACACCCTGTTTTGATTCTTGTTGTCTACTTAATTCATAATTCCACATTAATACATAATATGGCTTTTTTGTACTTTTGAAAATTGATTGTTAGCTGGACGTGGTGACATGCACCTGTTGAGCCCAAGAGAGAGAGGCTGCAGTGAGCACTGATCGTGCTGCTGCACTCCAACCTGTGCGACAGAGTGAGACCCTATCTCAAAAAAATTTTTTAAATAAAAATTGATTCTTATAAAGTAACATGCTTTGAAAATAAATCTCAGCCAGCTAAAGCCGATCTGTATTTTCTCTAAATCCTTCCGTTTGTATATATATACCACTAGAGGGCGCTCCACGAAAGTCACTGCCTGTGAGTACTGCAAGTAGCGCTCACACATCCCTCCCTCTCCCTTCTCCCACCTGTTTTACATAAATGGTAACAATTTATCTTGAAGCTCTTTCCTTATCAGTACCTAAAGAACATCCTTGTTATTTTTAAACAGCTTACAATATTTTATTGGATGAATATAATATAGTTATTTAAGTAGCATCCCAAGACATTTAGACTGTTTCAGTTTTTTAAATACCTATTTTTACTAGGATGAAGCAAAAATGTACTCAATTAATTTAAATCAATACATATTTAAAAGCAAGTGCTATGTGTCATACTTTATATTAGGCCCTGATTATAAAACTTTCAGCAAGGCAGACAAGATTCTTGCCTTTATGAGTTATATTCTAGTTGTATTGCAGTTATATTACAGTTATATGTTACCTAAAGGCACAAATTGATCAATGTCAGGCCATCATTTTCAACCTTTTTGCTCTTACATATAATTTGGCAATGAATATCAGTCTACTAAGGCCAGCTACATATTTTGAGGGGCAAAATGAAACTATGGAGCTCCTTGTTTAATAGCAGGAAAAGACCAGGTGCAGTGGCTCACGCCTGTAATCCCATCACTTTGGGAGGACCAGGTTGGAGGATCGCTCGGGCCCAGGGTCTCGAGTCCAGCCTTTACAACATAGTGAGACCCCATCTCTAGTTAAATAAATCTATTAAAAAATAATAAAATAGAAAATAAAAAGCAGAAAAAAAACCCAACCTTTTCCTTTTTTCTGTGGTTCCACTGTCAACCTATTATGTGGGGTTTTTTTCTTTTCTTTTTTTTTTTTTTTTTTGAGACGGAGTCTCGCTCTGTCGCCCAGGCTGGAGTGCAGTGGCGCAATCTCGGTTCACTGCAACCTCCGCCTCCCGGGTTCAAGCCATTCTCCTGTCTCAGCCTCCCAAGTAGCTGGGACTACAGGCGCTCGCCACCATGCCCAGATAATTTTTTTGTATTTTTAGTGGAGACGGGGTTTCACCGTGTTAGCCAGGATGGTCTCGATCGCCTGACCTCGTGATCCGCCTGCCTTGGCCTCCCATAATGGTGGGATTACAGGCGTGAGCCACCGCGCCCGGCCTTTTTTTTTTTAATTTAATGTCACACTCCAGGCACAGGAGTACCTAGGGGGAAGTGCAGATCTTCACAAGTGCCTAGGGCCATGCCTTCCATTTGGCAAGGGAGGTGTGTATGCCTGACCGCTCCCCTCCTTTCCACTGTTCCCAGGCCCCTGCTGGGAGCGAGCCTGCACAGAAGGTGGTGGAGCCGGCAGCTGAAAACCAGTCCTGGGGAGGCTGGGAGGCATGGGGAGCAGGACCTCGCTTGAGCCAGGCTCCAAAAGTCTCTAGCCCATGTTCTGCTTTCTCATCGGACTTCATTATAAGACACAAATTGAAAGATAAAATTATTAAGAATTTCAAGACAGGAACCACAGAGCTTTAGAACCCAAACACAGTATCCCTTCTAAGCATGGGGCCCTTGTGTGACTGCCCTGGTCACTCACCCATGAAGTTTACTCTGCTTTCTACACTGGTAGAATAGTTTGTTCAGAGAGCATGTTTTTTGGTAATTTCAATAAATATTGATAAATTGCCCTGCACAAAGTTGTATACTTCACTGTACCCTGGCTTTCTCCTTAGTGAGTGAGGGAATAATATCATCCACTTCATCAGGGTTATCATGAGAATGACATGAATGAGTCCCTGTGAACTGTGAATGGTACACAGTAACCACTCAGTAAATACAGTCATTAGCCCTTACATGCAGTGATTTTCTTCTGGAACTCCCTCTAGTGGCATAAATATAAAGAGGAATTCACGTTTTCTTTTCTACTTTTGTGGCCCTATTTCCCATAATATTTGTGTGTTTAAATTGGTCTAGATATTCCACTGAGGCTCAATGACCGATAGACTATAAAATGTCTAATTTACATCAATTTAGCCAGATGCTTCCTAGGTAGGTCGGAGAAATGAGAACACTGATCCGAATCAATGTGAGGCAGCTCCCAGCAAGTGAGCGCCTGTAGCATGTGTGAGCATGGGTGCTGTGGTGAATGCAGCCAGGGGCTGCTCTTTCATACTGCTTTATTTCTTTTTCTTTTCTTTCTTTTTTTTTTTTGAGACGGAGTTTCGCTCTTGTTGCCCAGGCTGGAGTGCAATGGCACGATCTTGGCTCACTGCAACCTCCACCTCCCGGGTTCAAGGGATTCTCCTGCCTCACCCTCCTTTGTAGCTGGGACTACAGGCACCCGCCACCACGCCCGGCTAATTTTTTGTATTTTAGTAGAGACGAGGTTTCACCATATTGGTCAGGATGGGCTCGATTTCCTGACCTCGTGATCCACCCGCCTCGTCCTCCCAAAGTGCTGGGATTGCAGGCATGAGCCACCGCGCCCGGCCATACTGGTTTATTTCTTTTTCTTTTTTTTTTTTTTTTTGAGACAGAGTCTTGCTCTGTCGCCCAGTCTGGAGTGCAGTGACACGATCTCGGCTCACTGCAAGCTCCGCCTCCCGGGTTCACGCCATTCTCCTGCCTCAGCCTCCTGAGTAGCTGGGATTACAGGGGTGCGTCACCATGCCTGGCTAATTTTTTGTATTTTTTTAGTAGAGACGGGGTTTCACCGTATTAGCCAGGATGGTCTCGATCTCCTGACCTCGTGATCCGCCCGCCTCGGCCTCCCAAAGTGCTGGGATTACAGGCGTGAGCCACCGCGCCTGGCCTACTGGTTTATTTCTTTAAGTAACACATACAGTGTAGAAAAATTAGAAACGATATGGAAAAATGTAGAGAACAAAAAACTAATTATGTTCTACCAAAGGTTTAAATTTTATCTATCAACATTTTTTCCATTTTTGTGTATTCCCTATTGTTAGTCTGAGATTCACCAATATTTTTATCTTTCAAAAGGAAAAACATTCAGCTTCTTGTGAGTCAAGTGAGTCAGGCACTGAGGCTTGCCCCTCCCCCTCCCCCCTCACCAAATGGGAATGGGTTTGCGCTGATTTTAATCAAACTGCTATGGGTTGTCCTGCGTAAGAGGCTTTGGGCTGTTCTGTAGGTCCCCGTGGGGTAGAACAGTTGGGTGCAAGACTCTGAAGGCAGATTTCAGCTCAAAAGAAAGAATTTTCCCTCCTTCAGAGCTGTCCAACCGTGGTGGGAATGAGTGGGAACTACGGGAGTGAGCTTCCCATTCCTGGATTTTCCAGCCAACATAGAACTGGAGGTTAGGCCACATTATCCTAATATTTTTGCCTAGCTGTAGGATGATACAAGAATATACATTTTCCTTCCCCATCTTCTCCCGCTTTTCCTCGCCTTCTTTCCATTTCTTTGGCCCCTTCGCTTTTCGCCACCTAGCGGCAGAATCTTGCTAGGTAAGGACCAGGAAGCTCTCCCAATCTGACCCGCAACAGCTGACGTCACGACTTCGCCACCGAGAATTGGTTGCCAGCAGCCTTTGGGGGCGGAGAATAAGGCGCAGATTATAAATAGGTCAAAGAGAGGTGCCTGCGAGCCGCGCAGTGACACCCCGTTCCTAAGGGCAGAGCTTTTCTTGCCTTTCGCTTCAGACCCACTGCACTTGGTTACGTGCTTTTCCTCCGCTGTCCGCTTCGTTTATCTGCTTTAACCCAGCCTGGGCTAGGTAGGCCTGAAGCCTATAATGTTGCTTGGCTGTTGCTCAGGAGAAGAAAGGCCCAGGTGGCCAGTTTGGCAACTGGCACAGTCCCTGTGAGCACCCACCTGCTGATGGTCCTTCTGTCACTACGTAGTCGCTCCGACGCCAGGAAAGTGCGGTGGTGGCCATTTTGGAACTGGGCAACTTTCACTTCGCCAATCATCTTGGGGTCTGGCCACCACAGTACTTTTTTTTCATTATTATTCTGGCAGAGAACACGTTATGGAGGGATAATTATGTAGCCTAGAATTTCTAGAGTTGTTTCAGGACTCATAATATCCTCATTCCAGAATATGAGAATATAGAAGCTTGGAATACTCAGATGCAAATTCCAGCACCACCCTTTCCTAATTGATTGAGGAACACATCTGACTCTAGTCTACGGTCCTGTGGAAAGACCTGTGACCCTAGGCAAAGAGCTTAAAGAAATCTCTCTTTTTTTTTTTTTTTTTTTGAGACGGAGTTTTGCTCTTGTTGCCCAGGCTGGAGTGCAGTGGCGCGATCTCGGCTCACCGCAACCTCCACCTCCTGGATTCAAGTGATTCTCCTGCCTCAGCCTTCCGAGTAGCTGGGATTACAGGCTATGCGCCACTATGCCCGGCTAATTTTGTATTTTTAGTAGAGATGGGGTTTCTCCATGTTGGTCAGGCTGGTCTCGAACTCCGACTTCAGGTGATCCACCCGCCTCAGCCTCCCAAAGTGCTGGGATTACAGGCGTGAGCCACTGCACCTGGCCATGAAGAAATATCAATTTATTTAACTGCAAAATGATAATTCTGTCACCTCGTGGTGCTGATGTGAGGATTAAATGAGACAAGGTACATAAAGTGCTTAGGCCTGTGTCTGGCTCCCCCAAAAAACATAACACCTCTTGTGCAGCACCTGTGCTTAGAATGTTAGCCAGTGAGGGCAGGACTTCGTCTTATTTTCCCTGTGCCCTCCTGGGCATTGAATAGTGAGGGATACATATTAGAATAAGTTTGCTGAAAGAATGAATGACAAAGAATCCCTGCCTGTAGGTCTTCAGCCTTTGTATTCTATTATCTTTTAGGCTGTAGGCTCACCCTCAGGCATCTTCTTGCCACTCTAACCCCTATAGGCTGATAATTACACCTTTACTTGCTCTAGGTCACAGCAATCTGTTAACTACGAGATTAGTATTTTTATTAGTATTTTTGACTTTTTTTTTTTTTTTGAGACATGGTTTCACTCTTAGAGTGCAGTGGCGTGATCTCAGCTCACTGCAACCTCCGCCTCCCAGGTTCAAGCGATTCTCCTGCCTCAGCCTCCTGAGTAGCTGGGATTTCAGGCGCCCGCCACCACCCTCGGCTAATTTTTGTATTTTTTTTTAAGTAGACGGGGTTTCGTCGTGTTAGCCAGGATGATCTCGATCTCCTGACCTCGTGATCCGCTCGCCTCGGCCTCCCAAAGTGCGGGGATTACAGGCGTGAGCCACCGCGCCCGGCCTAATTTTTGTATTTTTAGTAGAGACAGGGTTTCACTGTGTTGGCCAGGCTTGTCTCCAACTCCTGACCTCGTGATCTGCCTGCCCGCCTAGGCCTCCCAAAGTGCTGGGATCACAAGCGTGAGCCACCGCGCCCGGCAGATAATTTACTTATTATTTCATACACCACCTGATATATTTTCACAGTGAGCATATGGCCTTTAAAATAATGATTTTTTTGTTGTTTAAGTTACAAACAAACCTGAAAAAATATTTGCTTTTTAGAAATGCTCAGTTTCTGAAGGGACCTAAGTTTGCCTTGTAACTGGTACCATCTAATGGTCAAACTGAGCTATTGCGCTGAGGTTGGATACAGGAAGCTAAGGGAAGACAGGGATGTGGGAAGTTCAACAGGGGTATGCTATGGAATAGGGTGACAGAACTTTGTGGATGACATACCAACATCACTTGCTGAAGTTGTGTAGAGCTTATTCTTACTGAAACAGTAATCCAGAAATTAACTCATATCTAATGACTTGGTGGTATAGCATACCAACACTTTTATGCCAGCCACTGGAGAAAAAGTGTGTTCCTATAGCATTTTCACATTCTGAAAACATTTGTCTATGATTGTATTTATTTCTCACAATAGTATGTGAGTTAAAGATATCAAATAGTTTTATTCTTATTTTACAGTTGATGAAATTGAGGCCAGACGGGTTGTGACAGGCTCAAGGTCAGTCAGAAAACCATTGTCAGAGCAAGACCAGACTGGCATTCTTTTTCAGGTGTTTCTGCTGCAATTGGGGGCAGAGATATGCAGGCTTAACTTTTATAAATATAAAAGATGCTTTATTGGGAAACGTGAAGTAGTGGTTCTCTGAGTTTTTTGTACCATTTCTTAGCCTTTTTGTTTTATGCAATTTTTTATTTGCCCCAACCTGAACTCTATGTTTGGAGAGGTGATTTTCAGCAACAAAGCTAAATTTATGTATAATTTATTTCTTTTTCTTTTATTAATCAAACGTGTTTTAACTTGTAACTTTTCTTCTAAAGTCAGCATCATGTGTATACATATGCAAATAATTCCACTCCAAGGTAAGGAAACTTTAAGGATATTTTAATTAGTGCTCACAACAAATATGTGTATCTGTTCTGATTTTTAAATAATAAAGATGGAGCATGACTTTCTTCTTCTCTTTCTGTATTCCAGTTTTAAAATCATTGGCTGGGTGCAGTGGCTCATGCCTGTAATCCCAGCACTCTTGGAGGCCAAGGCAGGCGGATCACTTGAGGAAAGGAATTTGAGATCAGCCTGGCCAACATGGCAAAACCCTGTTTCTATCAAAAATACAAAAAAGTAGCTGGGCATGGTGGCATGCACCTGTAGTCCCAGGTACTTGGGAGGCTGAGATGGAAGGACTGTTTGAGGCTGGTTGACACAGTGAGACTCCCATCTCAAAAAGAAAAAAAAATCACCATACCACATTGTAGGAGCTATGAAGGCTGACATCATGCTTAGCTCATGTGTGTGATCCCAAACTGCCCTATTCCATAAATATTTATTGACTAAATGAGAAAAAAATCTTACAACCAGGTAAGATTTCTTTTCTTTTCTTTTCTTTTTGAGACCGAGTCTTGCTCTCTTGCCCAGGCTGGAGTGCAGTGGCGCGATCTCTGCTCACTGCAAGCTCCGCCTCCCAGGTTCACGCCATTCTCCTGCCTCAGCCTCCCGAGTAGCTGGCACCCGCCACCATGCCCGGTTAATTTTTTCTTGTATATTTTGTAGAGACAGGGTTTCACCATGTTAGCCAGGATGGTCTTGATCTCCTGACCTCATGATCAGTCTGCCTCAGCCTCCCAAAGTGCTGGGATTACAGGCGTGAGCACCGCGCCCAGCCATAGCCAGATAAGTTTCTTTTGCACACCTGTACTACTTTTAATGGTAGTTATGGCAGGTCATATTAAATAACAATAATATTTTCTGGGCCAGGCATGGTGGCTCACCCCTGTAATCCCAGTACTTTAGGCAGGAGGGTCATTTGAGGTCCAGAGTTCAAAACCAGCCTGGCCAACATGGCGAAACCCTGTCTCTACTTCAAATACAAAAATTAGCCAGGCATGGTGGTGCATGCCTGAAATCCTAGCTACTGGGGAGGCTGAGGCAAAAGAATTGCTTGAACCCTGGAGGCAGATATTGCAGTGAGCTGAGATTGCACCGCTGCACTCCAACCTGGGTGATTTTATATATATATATATATGTAAATATATATATTTAGTTTTCTTATGAGCCCCTTAAGAATAATATCAATACACAGGCAGAAAAAAAGCATTCCAAGATCTTTTTTTTCTTTTCTTTTTTATTTGAGATGGTGTCTCACTCTGTCACCCAGGCTGGAGAGCAATGGCGCAAACTCAGCTTACTGCAACCTCTGCCTCTCCGGTTCAAGTGATTCTCCTGCCTCAGCCTCCTGAGTAGCTGGGATTACAGGTGTCCACCACCACACCTGGCTAATTTTAGTATTTTTAATAGAGACAGGGTTTCACTATGTTGGTCAGGCTGTTCTCGAACTCCTGACCTCGTGATCTGCCCACCTTAGCCTCCCAAAGTGCTGGGATTACAGGTGTGAGCCACCGCGCCTAGCCTTTTTTCTTTTCTTCTTCTTCTTCTTCTTCTTTTTTTTTTTTTGATAGAGATGGGGTTTTGCCATGTTAGCTTCAAACTCCTGGGCTCAAGCAATCTGCCTGCCTCAGCCTCCCAAAGTATTGGGATTACAGGTGTCAGCCACTGAACCAGGCCTAAAACTTTATTTTCTAAAGTTGAAATAACTTCAGGATATAATTTAGAGATATCATGACTCCTTGGGGTCCAGAGAAGAAAATCACTCAGGAGTTAAAATTAAGAGAAGGGTCAGGCACAGTTGTGAGTGCTGTAGTCCCAACTACTCAGGAGGCTGAGCAGGAAGAATTGGTTGAGGCCGGGAGTTCAAGAGCAGCCTGGGCAATAGAGTGAGACCTGTCTTTTAAAAAAGTAAAAATAGGTCAGGCGCGGTGGCTCACACCTGTAATCCCAGCACTTTGGGAGGCCGAGGTGGGCGGATCATCTGAGGTCAGGAGCTCAAGACCAGCCTGGGCAACATGACAAAACCCCATCTCTATTAAAAATACAAAAAATTAGCCATGTGTGGTGGCACACGCCTGCATTCCCAGCTACTCAGAAGGCTGAGGCAGGAGAATCACTTGAACCCAGGTGGAAGTTGCAGTGAGCCGAGATCGCATCTGCATTCCCAGCTACTCAGAAGGCTGAGGCAGGAGACTCACTTGAATCCAGGAGGTGGAAGTTGCAGTGAGCCGAGATCGCACCATTGCACTCCAGCCTGGGCAACAAGAGTGAAACTCCACCAAAAAAAAAAAAAAAAAAGTAAAAATAAAATCACAAGGAATGGTTGGAGGAGCCCAGCCCATTCTATTTGTACCTCTATTTTGAGCCATTTCATCCTCTTCCCTGACCAGTTCATCCATCATCCCTCCTCCCCATTAACCACCAGCTTACCTTGTACTCTTCAGTCTTAGAACCCACATTACCTTCAATCTTCTTTGTAAAATGTTGGTAAGAAGTTAACAAATTCAGGCCGGGGGTGGTGGCTTATGCTTGTAATCCCAGCACTTTGGGAGGCCGAGGTGGGAGGATCACTTGAGGTCAGGAGTTCAAGACCAGCCTGGCCAACATGGTGAAACCCCATCTCTACTAAAATTACAAAAATTAGCTGGGCGTGGTGGTGCATGCCTATAATCCCAACTACTCAGGTGGCAGAGGCACAAGAATTGCTTAAGCCCAGGAGGTGGAGATTGCAGTGAGCCAAGCTTGCACCACTGCACTCCAGCCTGGGTGACAGAGCAAGACTGTTAAAAAAAAAAAAAAAGTTAACAAAATCAAATTCAAGAATGCTTTCTTAATACATTTCTCCTGTTATTTTCCATTTTTCCCATGGTGGAAAATAGAAAATAGGATGGCATCACTTGAGTTGGGCATAGGGAAAGAAATTTCAAACAGGGCATGAGTTCTAGGATTTAGAACAGCTAATGCAGGAGTAGAGTTAAAGAAGATACCCCACCTAGCCTAGCCTGCTAGCTGCTTGACAGTAACCAGGGATAACAGGGGAACAGTTAAGGTTCTTCAGATCATGGTCTCTTTCTTTTTCTTCTCCCCTCCCCCATCCTACTTATAATTATTCAGACAGAATGAAAGTTTGCTGCAGGCACAGGTGAAAATTTTCCACCCGTGTCCCTATTTCATAGCAGGATCTTAAGATAAGACCAAGGAGAATGATCTTTGGAAAAGTACTTTCTTAAGAGCAGCGAATGGCTGAACGTAGTGGCTCATGCCTATAATCCCAGCACTTTGAGAGGTCAAGGCGTGTGAATCACCTGAGGTCAGGAGTTTGAGATTAGCCCGACCAACAAGGTGAATCCCCACCTCTACTAAAAACACAAAAATTAGCCAGGCGTGGTGGCAGGCATCTGTAGTCCCAGCTACTCGGGAGGCTGGGACAGGCCTGGGAGGCAGAGGTTGCAGTGAACTGAGATTGCGCCACTACACTCGCCTGGGCAATGGAGCAAGACTCCATCTAAAAAACAAAACAAACCAAACAAACAAACAAACAAACAAAAAAGCAGCGAGAAGAGAGAGAAGAGAAGTAAGGCCCTCTTCCTGGTAACATCTTGCTCTACTCCTATTCCCGATGTGGGCCACCATTAGCGCTGCTATGTGGAGCAGAATTTGTGCATGCACCAGAGATTATACTTGCAATGCTATCAAAATACTCATGGGTGGTGGGGGATGCACAGAGGTCTTGCCAGGTCTAATGCTGGTGAGGAAGCTTTAGTTTGCTAATGGTAAGGGCTACTGGGCAGTACAGTAAGGGTACTGAGCATAGTAGCATCATGGACAGCAAAATGGCAGCACCTACAAATAACGCAAGTAAGTAAAGTTATTGCTAAAAGAAAATATTCAGATAAACACTGGTAAGTCTTTTTGGAGAGTGATTCTGCCTATGGCTCAGCCAAGGCCCCCTGCTCTATGGCAGGGTGAATCTTCTGGATCTTCTACTAACAGAAATCTTACCCACATAGTGATAACCGCAGTGATTTAATCCTTAGCAGCATTGCTGATATGCACAGGACTCTCAGGGAGAGAGACCCCTGGGTGCCTTGAGGGTGCTTTCCACATCTTGTCATTGGGCTGAGCAGGGTCTTTGGAATCACTAATCTCATGTTGGCTTGTTACATGTGAGACACTGTGCAGATTATTAAACATGTTTGAGTTTCAGTTTTCCCATTTTGTAAATGGGAAGACTAATATCTATATCAGAGAATGCTATAAGGAGCAAGTGAGACAATCCAAGTAAAACACACAGCCCAAAACTGGTTATAGTAAAATAAATGCTATTATTATTATTATCCTGTAACTTATAGGGTGGAATGACTTAAATGTGTTTAGAATGTGTCACTATTATGGCCCATGGAACAAAGCAACCCATTTTACCAATACCTAGTAGGTCTTCAACAAACAACAGAGACCGCTAGATTAATAGACTTGGAAACTGGTGTGATCATTCTGTACAATGGAATGAAACTCATCTCTGAGTCAGAAAATATGTAGCTCTTTTAGTGGGATAAAATGAGCCACATAGTCAAAATCCCTGCCCTCCTGGAGTTTATGGTCTGGTCAGGAAGGCAAATGTAAATACACGATTCCACAGTTACCTTAATTACCACTGAGATAAGTTTTGTGGTTTTATTTTTATTTTGAGACAGAATCTCTCTCTGTCACCCAGGCTGGAGTGCATTGGCATGATCGCAGCTTACTGACCTTGACTTCCTAGGCTAAATCGATCCTCCTGCCTCAGCCTCCCAAGTAGCTGGGACTACAGGCTCATGCCACCACACTCGGCTAATATTTTTAATTTTTGTTAGAGACAGGGTCTCCTCATGTTACCCAGACGGAGATAAGTTCCTTCCTTCCTTCCTCCCTCCCTTCCTTCCTCTCTCCCTTCCCCTTCCCCTTCCCTTCCCTTTAGCATGCACCACCACCCCCAGCTAATTTTTGTATTTTTAGTAGAGACGGGGTTTCACCATATTGGTCAGGCTGGTCTGGAACTCCTGACCTCAGCTATCTGCCTGCCTCGGCCTCCCAAAGTGCTGGGATTACAGGCATGAGCCACCACACCCACATGGATTTTGATTTTCTTTTCTTTTCTTTTTTTCTTTTCTTTCGTTTCTTCTTTTCTTTCTCTCTCTCTCTCTTTCTAAAAAACAAACAAACAAAACAACGACTACAGTATGCCATATATGAGAGTGGCTAGTGGGATTGGGGAAACAGTGTTCTAAGTCTGGGGAATTCAGGGGAGGCTTTACTGAGGAGGTGCCATTTAAGCTGTTAGCAACATGGGTGTGGGGTGAGGAGGCTGAACAGAGCACCACGCCCAGGCAGAGGGAGCTGGGTGTGTTTGGTTTCTGAGTTGAAAGTTAAGGAAGTTTAAAGAACAGCAGTCAGACGACCATGGCTGGAGCACTGTTAGTGAAGGGCAGAAGGACCTGAGACTTGACTTTGAGGCCAAGCTCTGGTATTTATTGGCTGTGTGATCTTATGAAGTTCATTCAAACTTTCTGAGCTTCAGTTTTCCTATCTGACAAATGGAGATATTATCATATAGAAACAACAGAAAGAATTAGAAGAGCTAATGTGAGAATTCTTTGTAAATTATGCACCAATAAGGTATTCAGTTTCTGCACAGATCTAGGTGTAACAAATACTGAAAGCATCTGAAGGTGTGTATGAGTCATGTCTGCTTTTTAGGTCTTCAGAGTGATGGCTTAGAAAGACAGGCAAGGAAGAGTAAACTCAGCAGGTGTTTGTTTACTCTCAATTGCTAAAAGCCAAGCTTGCTTCACATCTGTTCCAGGCTTTCCCTCCACTAGGACTCAGTGGTTCCCGTGGTTCTCTGGACTAGGGTAAGATTAATCTGACCTGCTGTAATAGGGTCATGGATGTGACATGGTCAGGTTTTCATACATAGCCTTTATGGAGATCCTTACTGGCATTTTAAAATTTATTTTATTTTATTTTATTTTATTTTGAGATGGAGTCTTGCTCTGTCGCCCAGGCTGGAACGCAGTGGTGTGATCTCGGCTCACTGCAACCTCTGCCTTCCAGGTTCAAGCAATTCTCCTTCCTCAGCCTCCCCCGTAGCTGGGATTACAGGCACCTGCCACCATGCCCAACTGATTTTTTGTATTTTTGGTAGAGACGGGGTTTTGTATTTTTGGTAGAGATGGGGTTTCGCCATGTTGCCCAGGCTGGTCTCGGACTCCAGTTCAAGCGACCCACCCGCCTCGGCCTCCCAAAGTGCTAGGATTATAGGTGTGAGCCACCACGCCCAGCCCTCTTACTGGCATTTTTATCATATTTCCATGAATAGAATTTCTAGTCTGTTGCTTCAGATTTGTTCATTTGACTTCTAAAACATCTATCTGTAAACATCTTCTCATGTTTATAAACAGTTTCACATATCCTTTTCTGCAATTCCAAAATTCACAATACTCTGAAAACCAAAATTTTGTAACTCATTTGGCGGCAAAGCCTGGCCTGACTTGCATTCATTCTGTGACAAAACGAGATGTGAAGCTATTTATAGTCTTTCTTTACCTCATCTAGTGTAAATAGCCATACATTTAACGTGAAAATATATTTTTGCTTATTATGGGCTTTAGACCTGCATACACATATTAAATGATAGATTTTTGAGTATTGTGTAGCTTCTAATAGAAAAATCTGGGTGATATATCCTTTTACTCTGAGTATTATTTCATTAGTGTGCTTCGAATAAGTGAGCAATCATTTTAGGTACTTGAACAGAATATGACGAGAGACAGAAATCTATTGCAGCAAAATGAACAAACAAATCCCCTAGCAACCAATTATATACACACATTATGATGCATACGTTTTTCAGATTAGTATGAATAATTATTTGTAGATATTCATACCAGTATATACTTAATTACACATGTTTAATTAAATATAATACTTATTTTGAGATCTTCAAAATGCTCATTAAATTTGTGTTTATGAGAACTGAACCTTTTTTTTTTTTTTTTTGGAGACAGTTTTGCCTGTTGCCCAGGCTGGAGTGCAATGGCACAATCTCAGCTCACTGCAACCTCCAGCTCCTGGGTTCAAGCGATTCTCTTGCCTCAGCCTCCCGAGTAGGTGGGATTACAGGCATGCACCACCATGGCCGACTAATTTTGTATTTTTAGTAGATGGGTGGTTTCTCCATGTTGGTTAGGCTGGTCTCAAACTCCTGATCTCAGGTGATCCGCCCGCCTAGGCCTCCCAAAGTGCTGGGATTAAAGGCATGAGCCACGGCGCCCGGCAGGAGAACTGAACCTTTTCTAAGTCTTTTAACATGACCTCATTATCCTGTAGATGAACGGACAAAGAAGCTATTTTCCTTTTTGTTTCTTAGGTTAATCTAGCATTTAATTACATTGTGTTCATTCACTTATTATATAAAGGTGTACTTATTGAGAAATTATTTCTAGAGGCAACTTCACAATGTCAATGTTGTAATTTGGTTATTGGCTCTGTGCACTCCTGAGACAGGGGTAGGATCCCCACTGCCTCAGGGATTCTTGTGTGTGAGAGTGGTAAGTGCTAGTGCAGGTACTCATAGTGTGGCTTTTTAATTTCACTGAAGTTTTGTGACTCCCAAACTGGGCTCACCTGTACATGCCTGTAAAGACATGATAGAAATAGCTTCACGAGCTTACTTTTATTGGCACAATAAACCAAGGCCAGAACTGCCAAGAATGTACAACTGCTATGGTCTGAATGTTTGTGTTCCCCCAAAATTCATGTTCTGAAACCTAATCCCCAATGCAATGTGGTATTAAGTGGTGGGGACTTTTGCAAATGAGATTAGTGCCCTTCTAAAAGAGGCCCCAGGGAGCTTGTTTGCCCTTCCACCATGTGAAGACACAGCTAGATCGCAGATGGCAGATGGCAGTCTATGAGGAAGCCAGCCCTCACCAGACACTGAATCTGCCAGTGCCTTAATCTTGGATTTCCCGGCCTCCAGAACTGTCAGAAATACATTTCTGTTGTTCATAAGTTACCCGGTGCAAGAGATTTTGTTATGGCAGCTGAAACAGACGAAGACAGCAACCAAACTAGGATTGTGTGTGGGGAGCAATAGAGAGGGTTTATTAACGAAAGATGTTCCCTTACTCTCTCTCTTTTTTTTTTTTTTTTTCCTGAGACGGAGTTTCACTTTGTCGCCCAGGCTGGAGTGCAGTGGCTCGATCTCTGATCACTGCAAGCTCCGCCTCCCAGGTCACGCCATTCTCCTGCCTCAGCCTCCCAAGTAGCTGGGATTACAGGCGCCCACCATCACGCCCGGCTAATTATTTTTTTTGTATTTTTAGTAGAGATGGTGTTTCACCGTGTTAGCCAGGATGGTCTTGATCTCATAACCTCGTGATCTGCCCGCCTTGGCTTCCCAAAGTGCTGGGATTACAGGCATGAGCCACCGTGCCCGGCCTACTCTCTTACTTCTTTCTGGCCCAGTGATTCTGAGTGCCTGTGCCTATCAAGACGGGAAGAAAGAGAACACACAAATGGAAACTGAGGGGAAGGATCAAACAGTTTCACAAAAATATCCTATTTTAGTGATATTAAATATGATGCAAAGGATTCAAAACCTCACTAAAAAGCCAGAGTGAATCCCAGAGTGTAAATAACTTCACGTTTGAATAATAAACCTTTGCCCTATACATTTTTCTAAAGAGCAAGAGCTGTTACAGGACAGAAAACTCTCCCAGAAGACAGGTCTTTCATCCTAACCCAAGAGGACATGAACATCTTCCATTCACCCAGTGATCACCACTACTTTAGATGAGAGAATAGAACTGCAGTTTGACCCTTGACAGAAAATGCCTTGGAGCCGGGTGTGGTGGCTCACACCTGTCATCCCAGCACTGTGGGAGGCCGAGGTGGGCGGATTACGAGGTCAGGAGATCGAGACCATCCTGGCTAACACAGTGAAACACCGACTCTACTAAAAATACAAAAAAATTAGCCGGGCATGGTGGCGGGCGCCTGTAGTCCCAGCTACTCGGGAGGCTGAGGCAGGAGAATGGTGTGAACCCGGGAGGCGGAGGTTGCAGTGAGCCGAGATTGTGCCACTGCACTCCAGCCTGGGCAAAAGAACAAGACTCCGTCTCAATAAAAAAAAGAAAGAAAGAAAGAAAGAAAAAGCCTTGGAGTGGGAGTTGGGTGAGAGAAGTGCCTCAAAACTAAGCCTCTCAATGCAGTAGAAAGAATTTGAAAATAGGGTAACGAACTTAAGTTCAAATGTTGGCTCTGTCAGCTTTATAGCTGTGTGACCTCTGATTTGCTTCTTACTTTCTTTAAATGGTAGTTTACTAGGCTCAGTATAGAACATGAATATCCACTCTGTGTGGTTAGGTGAGAATTTAATGAGATACTCCCAAAATGTACCTAGCATCTACCTGATCATCAATCAAGTGAACTACGTTGGTTAATATGTTTTCAGGGCTCCCAGAGTGTTAAATTCTGGGCTATATGCTCTCAGGGATGGATGGAAGATGAGGCAGAAGAGAGAAAAGGAAGTAGAAAGAAAGTATGGGAGGCCAGGCCCCGTGGCTCATGCCTGTAATCCCAGCACTTTGGGAGGCTGAGGCGGGCAGATCATGAGGTCAGGAGTTTGAGACCAGCCTGGCCAACATGGTGAAACCCCGTCTCTACTAAAAATACAAAAAATTAGCTGGGCGTGGTGGTGGGGCGCCGGTAATTCCCAGCTACTCAGGAGGCTGAGGCAAGAGAATTGCTTGAACCCAGGAGGCAGAGGTTGCAGTGAGCGAGATCGCGCCACTGCACTCCAGCCCGGGCGACAGTGTGAGACTGTCTCAAAAAATAAATAAATAAATAAAATAAAAATAAATAAATAAGAATAAAAAATAAAAATTATTAAAAAAAAAGAAAGTATGGGAACTAAAATGAATAAGATTTGTCATTTTCCAGTAATCTGAGTAGGAACTCCACTATCTCTATGAAAAACCGTCAAAAACTACAAAAGGAGATGGCATTGCCAAAGGCACAAATTGTACAGAAGTGAGAGAAGGATGGGATCAAGCCTGGGGATCCTTCCAGAGGAAAGAAGTTTTGTGCTTGATGTAAAAGGAAAAGAAGGAAGTAGATTGATTGTGGGGAGGATGAAATTAGGATACTCAAGTAGTGGTTCTGGAAGGACCTCTACAAATATCCTGAAAAATATGGCCAGGAATCCTGGCAGTGACATTGGAATATGAAAAGATGTGAAAGGGGGAAGTTGTAGCTACTGGTGGAAAAAGGTGAGTGGTTTGTATAATGAACATAATTGGAGCCCTTGTCTGTACCCTCAAATGCCTCTGCCTCCCAAACAAGTAACAGATTTTAGCTATACTGATGCAACTTGCTAGGAAGGTTTTCTTTAAACCTTTATAAATCAATTAAAAATGATTTATAGAGGAGACACTTGTAAAACATTTGAATAAAAGTTGAACAACAAATATGACGAAAGAAAAGTGTGCAGGCCCCGCACAGTGGCTTATGCCTGTAATCCCAGCACTTTGGGAGGCTGAGGCAGGTGGATCACCTGAGGTCAGGAGTTCGAGACCAGCCTGACCAATATTGTGAAACCCTGTCTCTACTAAAAATACAAAATTTAGCCAGCCATGGTGGTGTGCACCTGTAGTCTCAGCTACTCGGGAGGCTGAGACAGGAGAATCGCTTGAATCCGGGAGGCGGAAGTCGCCGTCAGTCGAGATCACGCCATTGCACTCCAGCCTGGGTGACAAGAGTGAAACTCCGTCCCCCCACCAAAAAAAAGAAAGAAAAAAAAAGAAAAGTGAGGGTGGAGGGAGGGAGAGCACGACGTGCGCGCACCCTCTCCCCTTGTCCACTGCTGCCGCCTCCTTCTTCTGCCGCTCCTGGTGCTGCTTGTGTGCTCGTTTGGAGCGGACCTGGTACCTCTTTTGTGAAGCGGCAGCTGAGGAGACTCCGGCGCTCGCCATGGCCGAAGAAAAGCCCAAGGAAGGAGTCAAGACTGAGAACAACGATCATATTAATTTGAAGGTGGCGGGGCAGGATGGTTCTGTGGTGCAGTTTAAGATTAAGAGGCATACACCACTTAGTAAACTAATGAAAGCCTATTGTGAACGACAGGGATTGTCAATGAGGCAGATCAGATTCCGATTCGACGGGCAACCAATGAAACAGACACACCTGCACAGTTGGAAATGGAGGATGAAGATACAATTGATGTGTTCCAACAGCAGACGGGAGGTGTCTACTGAAAAGGGAACCTGCTTCTTTACTCCAGAACTCTGTTCTTTAAAGACCAAGATTACATTCTCAATTAGAAAACTGCAATTTGCTTCCACCACATCCTGACTACTACCGTATAGTTTTCTCTATTCTTTCATTTCCCCCTTCCCCATTCCTTTACTGTACATAAAGTAACTGGTATATGTGCACAAGCATATTACTTTTTTTTTTTAAAACTAAACAGCCAATGGTATGTTTTGATTGACATCAAGTGGAGACGGGGCGGAAAAATACTGATTCTGTGAAAATACCCCCTTTCTCCATTAGTGGCATGCTCATTCAGCTCTTATCTTTATATTCCAGTAAGTTATTTTGCTCTCACTGTTTTAACAACAACAACAAAAAAACAACAACATAAAAATCCTTGCATACCTTGTTCAATTGGAGAATTTTAATGTTTTTCATTTATCATTGTAAAACCAAGGACAATTTTATAACTTTTTTGTACTTAGCTGTTACATGCAGAGCAATCTGTCTTTAAGTAGGGATAAATTACTCTAAAACAAAAAAGAATCCTAGATAGTTTTCCCTTCAAGTCAAGCGTCTTGTTGTTTAAATAAACTTCTTGTTTAAAAAAAAAAAAAGTAAAAAAGAAAAGTTATGCAACAATTAATGGCCCAGAGGCAATCCTTGTTAACATTTTGATGCATCTTTTAGCTGTTTTTTTTTGTTTTTTTTTTTTTTGACTGAGTTTGACTCTTGTCACCCAGGCTGAAGTGCAATGGCATGGCATGATCTTGGCTCACTGCAACCTCCGCCTCCCGGGTTCAAGTGATTCTCCTGCCTCAGCCTCCTGAGTAGCTAGGATTACGGGCATGCACCACCATGCCTGGCTAATTTTGTATTTTTAGTAGAGTTGGGGCTTCTCCACGCTGGTCAGGCTGGTCTCGAACTCCCAACCTCAGGTGATAAGGGAAGGGGCACTATTGACATTTATGGTTGGGGCAGAGGTGTAAGATATTCTTCAAAGCACTACCTACATGTTGAAGAATTGTTCCTCACCCAGATTCTCAAAAGTCCCCCAGGACATTCACGTAGTGAAAACCTGTGTTTAATTATCTGAGCCTATAACTTAATACAGTTTTAAAATATTTTTTTAAATATACAGTGAACTTTCTAGGAATGCAATTATAGTTGTGTGTAAAATTAGGGAAAATTAACTTTGCTACCAAGAGTTGTTCAACATTTTGTTAAATCACTTCATTGATGGCAACATGCTGGAGGTAGTTGAGTCACCAACTCAGCACCTGGATCAGCCTGTGTTGGTAGCAGTTTCATCCCCGTGGTTCTGTGAATAGGTGGAAGCATCTGCTTACTCCATCAGGACTTCTAGGGTAGTCGGGCCTTGGCACTCACACATTAAAATACTGTTTATGTTATTTTATTGCAAGTTACTTTTCTTTCATTTCCCCTTTACGTTACAGAAAGGGAAGCATTTTGCTTTCTGTTTAAAGTTGTGTATGTAGGTAGGTTATATCATCTATGACTTTCTCTCCCTCCTTCCCTTTCTTTTTGTTTGAGATGGAGTCTTGCTCTGTCACCCAGGCTGGAGTGCAGTGGTGCGATCTTGGCTCACTGCAACCTCTGCCTCCCGGGTTCAAGCGATTCTGGTGTCTCAGCTGGGATTACAGGCGCACACCATCACACCACGCTAATTTTTCTATTTTTAGTAGAGATGGGGTTTCGCCATGCTGGCCAGGCCAGGCTGGTCTCAAACTCCTGAGCTCAAGTGATCAGTCCGCCTCGGCCTCCCAAAGTTCTGGGATTTCAGGCGTGAGCCTCATCTATGAATCTCAATTTAGGACAGTAAAAGTGTCATTACAAAATATTTATTGTAAAAAAGGGTTGGAGGTTGAGAATCTCAATTCTAGTCAGTCTCTCAGTGTTTGGTTTCTTCCTACCATTTTTCCCCCTAGGACCAGCCAGAAAGCAGCTTTTTTTTTGTCCCCCCCAACAAGGAGCCCACTGTTTCCTCTCCCAGCCCAAACTCAGGCCTACGAACAACAACAGCACAACACACACACACACACACACACACACACACACACACACACACACCCCTCCACTTCAAGGTATAGCCAAGAGCTTCTGGAGCCGTCAAAAAGGTCTGTACCTGCTGTCTTTAGAGCTTCCAGTTTGCCCTTGGTCAAGAAATACTGTTTGCTAGGCTCTGCTGGAGTACATCAGGTAATACTGGCTTCTAAACCACCCTGAGGTTCTTTTCTCTTGTCCTTTTACTCCCTTCGTACTTCAATTTCTCTCCTTGATGTCCCCCTCCCTGTTTTGTTTTTTGCCTCCAATCCGTTCTGCGCGTTCCCTGCAGAGCAGGCGAGTAGCAATGCTGCTGGACCATGGAGCTGCTCTAGTCTCCCAGAAATCTCTTCTACACCCAACCCTTCTTGCGCTTAGGTGGTCCTCAGTCCCCCTCCCCCACCTCCTTCTGACCCAGGCTTCTTTCTCGCCCTCCGGTCGCAGTTCTCCTGGGCATCTGCCTCTGCCTCTCTCCTCTCACCCGGATCTAGGGCTGCCTTCTCTTTGTGCAGCCGTCTTTCTCCACCTTCATCCCAGACTCCCTGTCTCAGCGCCAGCTCCTCTGCCTTTGGCTCGGGTTCCCTCTCCCCCACCCCAGCTTCCAGTTGTTTGGCCCGCAGGTCCCTCGGCAGTGACCGGCGCCCCCCGACGAGTGCGTGTGCACCAGGGCACCTCCCTCTCCCCCACCTCTCAGCCCCGCGCCTCTCCACCGCCCGCCCCACCGCGCTGTGGGCGGTCCAGGGCGGGGCTGGGATCCGGGGCGGCTCCCGGGGCTCGGGTTGTGGGAGGCGCCCTCTCCCCGGTCTTCCCCTCTCTTCCCCCCGCCCTGCCTTCCCTTGCACCCTCCTTCTTCCCTCCGCCCGGGAGCTCTCCCTGGTCCCCGGCGCCGCCTCCTTCCCTCCCGGCTCCCCGCTCCCCGCTCCCGTGGCTGCCGCCGCCCCGGGGAAGAAGAGACAGGGGTGGGGTTTGGGGGAAGCGAGAGAGGAGGGGAGAGACCCTGGCCAGGCTGGAGCCTGGATTCGAGGGGAGGAGGGACGGGAGGAGGAGAAAGGTGGAGGAGAAGGGAGGGGGGAGCGGGGAGGAGCGGCCGGCCTGGGGCCTTGAGGCCCGGGGAGAGCCGGGGAGCCGGGCCCGCGCGCCGAGGTAAGAGCCAGGGCCCCGGGTTAGCAGGGCTCGGAGAGGGGGCGCGCGGCGTGGTGGGGGAGGGGGCAGTGGGCGCAGGGCCCAGCTGGGGGAAGCGGGGCTGGGGGAGAGGAGGAACCGCGGGGATGGAATCGGGGAGCGCTGAGGCGGCCGATGCCGGGAGCGTGGGTAAGCCAGGCTTCTGCGAGCCGCGGGGGCCGGGGGAGAGGAGGTGGTGAGAGGTGGAGTCCCGGGAGGGTTGGGGGCCGAGGGAGGCAGGAGGAGGGTGGGGACAGGCTTTCTCTCCTCCTCTCCCCCCACCCCGCGCGGGGCTCCGCCCCCGCCTCCTCCGCGGGGCGCTCTCTTGGTCCCCAGGCTGAGCCCGGTCGGAGCCTGCGAGGCAACCGGCAAGAGGTCGAGTAGTCTCCGGGTGCGGGCCGCGCCGGCGGGGCTCGGTCCAGTCCTCATGGCCGCCTCTCACTTAGATGTTGCTGCTGCTGCTACTGGCGCCACTCTTCCTCCGCCCCCCGGGCGCGGGCGGGGCGCAGACCCCCAACGCCACCTCAGAAGGTGCATCCTTCTTCGACGACCTCCGGCCCTCCTTCGCTCCACTTCCCTTTCCCTGCATCTCCTCATTTCTGGTCCTCATCACTATCCCATCAGTCCCACATATCATCCCGGTCTGGCAACCCCTTCTGCTCGGCCCGACTTTACTACTGCTGACCTCCTTCTGTCACCCCACGTTACTATCCAGCACCTCTTTTCTCTGCCCACATTGCTACACTATACCACCTTCCTGTGCATTTTCTCCGCCTCAATCCCCTTTCCCAGCCCCACATTACTACCTCAATTACTCCCTTTTCTTGGTCCCACTTTGCTGTCCAGATGATCTTATTAGCCTCCCTTTATCCTCCTATCCTAATTCAACTCGAATATCCTCATTTAGCCTTTTTTTTTAAAGAAAAGCTCCACCCACATATCATACCCTTCATGATTTCTTAATTACTTTTCTTTCTTACCTCCACCCAGCACCCTTCCCTCCCCACTTGTGGGTTCTCTCATCAGCTTTAACCCTGGCCCTTTACTCTCTGTCCTTTAGCCAGGGGATCTGTACCTGTCCCCACTCCCACCCTCTAGTGCCCCATCCCTCTTCCTCTGTCCCCAGCCTGCCCACAGACCACGCCCTACTCTCCCCTTCCTCCCACTGGGGAGCCTGCCTTTTCCTCTTTCCCACCATTCCTCTCTGTATGCCTCCCCGACTCACCCCTTAGGTTGCCAGATCATACACCCGCCCTGGGAAGGGGGCATCAGGTACCGGGGCCTGACTCGGGACCAGGTGAAGGCTATCAACTTCCTGCCAGTGGACTATGAGATTGAGTATGTGTGCCGGGGGGAGCGCGAGGTGGTGGGGCCCAAGGTCCGCAAGTGCCTGGCCAACGGCTCCTGGACAGATATGGACACACCCAGCCGCTGTGGTGAGTAGCCTCGGAAGCCCCTCCCCTCTTCAAGACTATTCCTTTTCCTGCCGCAAACTTAGCATTACTGCTTGCAAGTCAGCACTTTAAATCCAGTATACCAAAATTCACAAATACATTTATTGAATGACTACTACATAAGAGCAATTTTGCTCTGTGCGGTTGGAGGTAGTAGAGCTAGCAGCCTGCACAGTTCATTTCATCCTCCCTTCATTAGGCCACTGATCATTGGCCTATAACATTGATAATTCATCTTGTCAGTTATTCTCTTTGAGGATCATTAGTGGCAGATGATGACAAAAAGATTCTAAAATGATTTCATCACATTTTTGAATACCTCTGTCACCAACCCAGAGACCATATGCCCAAGAAACAAAAGCCAGTTTAATATTAATAGAAGCCAACTATAATAAGAAAAGCAAATCTGATTGTGCATCCAAAGTTATATACATCTACATATTTCAAAGCCAGAGAACCGCCCACTGTAGCTGACTTTGAAGAGATCCCATTTTGTGTGCTTATAGCCCCATCTTGGGTTCCTAAAATGGTAATTTTTTTTTTCTTTTGGGAATGTGTGGATGCTTGCACAGGTAAGGGAGGATTGGAAGATAGGTAGGCAAATCCTTTTCACATGTGATTTTCTTTAGAGCAGGATGCTTGTGGACCCAAACCTGCACCTGAGTCCCCTGCTCTTTAAAGGGAAAGAGCCTTCTTCAACTCGCCTCTCTTCTTATTTTCCTATCTCTCCACAGTCCGAATCTGCTCCAAGTCTTATTTGACCCTGGAAAATGGGAAGGTTTTCCTGACGGGTGGGGACCTCCCAGCTCTGGACGGAGCCCGGGTGGATTTCCGGTGTGACCCCGACTTCCATCTGGTGGGCAGCTCCCGGAGCATCTGTAGTCAGGGCCAGTGGAGCACCCCCAAGCCCCACTGCCAGGGTGAGGGGAACAGCTGCCTGCATGCAGCTGATGAGGACGCTTGTGTGAGGATGGGAGTGGGGTGGGAATGGATAATGGGAAAGAATGGAGAGCTATAAAAATGTGGGGGAGGACACTGGAAAGGGGAGATGAAAGTCCCTTTTTCCTCCATCACCTGCCTCAAACTTCCTCTTGCAGTCCCCGGTATCCTCTGTAGGTTGGGGGCTTCCTTCCTTTACCTTTTAAAAAAATCTTCCTGCTCCCGATTCTTAGACCTCACGTTTTCTCTTTTCCTTTATGAATCTCACCTCTCTCACCTTCTTCAGGTTTAAATACTCCAATTTTCCCTTTCTCTAAACTTAGAAATTTCCATGCATCACCCTCTTCTAGAATTCATCCCTCACCATTCCTTATATAATTGATTTATTGTAAAGACTCAGAAATAAATCAAACATTCTACTAAGAAAAATTGAGAAGGGGAGCTCTGGGGGTGGAAACATATTAGGGTAAAAGACTTAAAATTGGAGGCAGCATTATCAGAAGATGAAGAACAACTCAGGGATGGGGTGGGAAGAAGACAGGTCCTTTTCTGTACTTCCTAGACAACCTCCATTATTCCCTAAGGGAATCAGTGTTGTGTCTGTCTACTTTTTTTTTTTTTTTTTTGCCACGTAATTTTACAAACTCTCCCTTTTCTAGGCACCCGAACTCTCTGCCATCTTCTCTCCTGGGATGCAGTCATCCCATTTGTATGCCTCATACTTCCTCTACCCTGGTAGATTCTTTCAAGATCCTTGGGCTTTACTTTCCTCACATAACTCAGTTATTCTGCTTCTAGTTTACCATTTTATTCTGGAAATTGAGAGTCCCATCCAGGGGTGGACTTATGACACTACTGAAACTTAGACTTCAAGGTTCCTCACCTACAGGGCCCTCTTCCTGTGCTCTAATAATATAGAGGGCTCGATGGATATGTGTTCATATGGTAACAGGCTTTTGTAAAAATTGCAGAAATAAGATTTTAACAGCAATTGCTTAAAGCCAATTGTATGTGTAATTTTTTTTCTTAAAGACTCCCAATTTTGTAATATTCAGGCACCACAGAACCAAGATCTGCCCCAAACTTAGCTATTGGCATTCCCGTCTCAAATTCTGTTGTCCTATGAAAAATCGAAGAAGAAAATAAGTCCTGACCCCCTTACCCCCAGACCCACCTTGTTCTTATCCCCAGGCACCCTCCCCTCAGAAACGCAGGCTTCTGCTCTCCCCGGTCTTCAGCATGGACAGGTGTGGGAGGGGGCTGGGGATCAGGCCAGGGAAGCTGGGCGCCAGTGGTAACTCTTCTCTGATCCCCGTCTTTCCTGCTGCCAGTGAATCGAACGCCACACTCAGGTGAGATGAGAAACCCTTACCGCGCGCACTGCAATGCCCTCCCCTTCACTCTGCACCCTCCACCCCCCTGAAATTCTGCCCTTAGGCTACGGGGCGTCGTCCTTTCGCACCTTCCCCAACCCACCCCAGTTTGCGGCCACCCCCTTCCCTCCCTACCTGTTTCCTGCCTCCAGTCCCGGTTTTCCACGAGGCTGCGGTCTCTCCTTGTCCCTGCTTGGCTACACTTCCCTGGGCTCCACCTCCTCCCAGACTGAGCCTCGCCGGTGTCAGGCAGAGCCCAGCAGAGGGCGGCAGGGTGCTGGGAGACCCTGAGCTCCCACCACGTTTTCCCCTGTGGGGTTCCTTGCGACCTTCGCTGGAACCTTTTCCAGCCTGCTGCCTCCTAGGATTTCACCTAATGGACTTTCTCAGCCTGTCCCACCCATCCCAACCCTGGCCAGGCCTCTCGCGCTCTTCCCCACATCTTTTCCTTCCGTGTACCCCTTCCCTCGTCTTTTCTCAATTCCATGTCCTGTCTCCCTTTCTTAGGCTTCTGTCTACCCAGCCCCAGGCTCCCTTCCACGACCCCACCACTCCCTCAAACCAGCCTCCCTTCCGTACCCAACTCGTTCCCTCCAAAACCGTTTCCTCTCCCCCACATCCTCAGTGCTTCACTGTATCGACTCATACTCCCACTTCAGACCTCAGGCGCCAGCCCCGTTTCTCTCCCGTCCCACTCGCATCCTTCCCTTCCTACCCTGGTTCCTCCGTGCTTCAGCCTCCCGCGGCTCCCTCCGCCCACCCCGCCCTCCTGGCACGCCCCGTCCCCATTTCTCCTCCCCTCGGGTCCCCTTAAGTGAGATCCCTCCCTTCCTCTTTCGTTCCTTTCCTCCTCGAGGTTGCATCCCCCCTCCCCTCCCCGCCCCTCCGACTGTCGCTCCCACCTCGGCGCTCGCTTCCCTCCCCGCCCCCTTCCTGCCTCCCCAGCTCCCGCCCGCCCCCCCACCCCCCGCTGCCGCGCGCCGCCCGTGACGTCAGAGCCCCCTCCCAGCCCCACATCTCCCTCCTGCTCCTCCTCCTCCCCTCCGTCGGTCAGTCAGTCCGCGAGGAGAGTCCGCGGTGGCGGCGACGGTGGCGAGAGCCGCGGGGGCCGTAGGAAGCCAACCTTCCCTGCTTCTCCGGGGCCCTCGCCCCCTCCTCCCCACAAAATCAGGGATGGAGGCGCCTCCCCGGCACCCTCTTAGCAGCCCTCCCCAGGAAAAGTGTCCCCCCTGAGCTCCTAACGCTCCCCAACAGCTACCCCTGCCCCCCACGCCATGGGGCCCGGGGCCCCTTTTGCCCGGGTGGGGTGGCCACTGCCGCTTCTGGTTGTGATGGCGGCAGGGGTGGCTCCGGTGTGGGCCTCCCACTCCCCCCATCTCCCGCGGCCTCACTCGCGGGTCCCCCCGCACCCCTCCTCAGAACGGCGCGCAGTGTACATCGGGGCACTGTTTCCCATGAGCGGGGGCTGGCCAGGGGGCCAGGCCTGCCAGCCCGCGGTGGAGATGGCGCTGGAGGACGTGAATAGCCGCAGGGACATCCTGCCGGACTATGAGCTCAAGCTCATCCACCACGACAGCAAGGTAGCCCTGGACATGGGGGTGGGTGGGAGGTGGGGGCTTGCGGGGCAGGGGGCCAGCCAGCTGCACGCGCCCCCATCTGTCTGAGTCGTCTCTGGGATTGCGAGGCAGACCCCTCCCTTGTGTGACTGGCAGGAGATGGGCTGGGGGTGCAGGAGCTTGGGGAGAGTCGCAGGGGCTGGAGGTCCAAGATGAGGGTCTAGGGGCTCAAGATGGTTAAGCATGCTGCAAGGCAGACCCTTCTGCCCCGCTGCGGGAGTCTCGCAGAAGTGTCGGGGTTTGGAGAAACTGGTGGTGGATTTAAGGTATTAGGAGACACTGATCCTCTGAGGGAGTAAACTAACCCTGGAATGGGTTGGGGGTGGAGGGAATGTCAGAGGTGGGGAGCTGGATTGGGGGTTTACATTTACCATGGTAACAAGGTAAAATCTTGGCGTAGGTTGGAGCTGGAAGGAATAGGGACAGAATGAGGAAAATTTTGAGAGACTTGAGAGCTCTAGTTTATTTATCTTAACAAAACAGCAAGGTAGTGGTGAGCCCTACCTGACTCCTTCTCATCCTTCTATTCCCAACCCTGTTGAGCATTCCCAGACTGTGGGATAGATGGCATATGGTGATTGGGGAAGGCTAATGATCAAGAGGTGGGCAGAGGCACTGGGAAAATGAATTGGATTGGGGATCCACATGGGAACCCCCACAATAGCATGGGGATGAAGAAGAGTCAACATACAAGGAGAAGAGAACAGAAAAGAAAAGAATGGCAGTGGGGGAGAGGGGCAAGGAGGTAGCGTGGGGATAATGAGAGATCTTGGGGCACCTTATGGAACTTGGGTCCTGACCTTCCCTTCCCTTATAGCATTGTGGCCTCTAGGATGTGAGAAGGGAAATGGGATGTAGGGATTAGGGAGGTGAGTTGAGGGAGAGAGAGAAGGTAAGCAAATTTGGGTCCAGGGGTATTAGGGGATAGCTTATAATGAGGTTTTTTTTCCCACCCCTCTCCCCTACGTGAATAATTGGGGGTGCAGGGAAGGATGTGACACAGGGAAGGAGATTTAAGATCTCAAATTTATCTTCACTGACATGTGGCCCCAGAGACTTAAGGAATTGGGTTAGGGTGAAATAGAGTACACAAGGTGAGAATTTGGTGATCTTACCAAATATCAACCTTGGGGTGATCCAAGGATTTATATTCATTTTTAGAACATCACTATACACCTAGAAATAGGTGTGTGTCTGGGATAGGTGTGTGAGGGGACAGAAGTGAGGTTGAAGGTAGGGTGCTTGAAGAGAAGAGAGCACAAGGATTATCAGGAGCTTGGCAAGAGAACTTAAAATCCTTTTTGACTGTTACTTTCTCGTGGTTCTCAGCCTTCAGTGTACATAAGAATCACCAGAGGAGTTTGTTAAAAATACAGATTCTAGCTCCTTGGTCAGGGATGAATCCCAAGTATTTATCTGTATTTTTACTAATAGACATCCTATATTGGTGGATTCCTGAGCTGTAAGCTAACCCCAGAATGCCTATGGGAAGAGCAGCAGGGTACAGGAAAATAATTAGGTATTAGGGTACGGGAGGCAGGAAGAGAAGTAGAGGATCAGATCTGGTAGAGGGTCAGACTTGGGACAGTCAGAGAGATCATTGGTTTTGGGGAGTGGAGTGTGAAGAAAATGACAGGGAGAGATGGGTGCAGGCTTTATGATAGGGGATCACAGGAGATAGGGGAGGCCTGGCTGTGAGCTCAAACTCATCCACCATGACAGGTGATTCCCTGGAGGTGGCGGGGAGCAGACGTGGGACCTGGGAGAAGGGAACTGGAGAACATCAGAGGCATCAAGCGGGGTGGGATGGGAAGGCAGAAGAACCAGAATGTGTCAATTGGAATGAGTCGGTTTCCTGCCTGCAAATCCAGATCCTTGCAAGAGCAAAGAGAGGGAGGAGAACTAAGGAAATCTATTGGGGAGGGGGAGAGAATCACGTGGTGGAGAGAATCTGCAGTGATGAATAGTGTGTGGAAGAGGGAAACGGTTGCAAGAAAAGGTAGATAAGAAATCAGGAAACAAAATCGGGGGCATGCCTTGCCCTGTTGATATGTATCTTATATGTTCTTGTATGTCCTCATTGTTCCTATTAACCCTGTCTTTAGAGAAGTGGAGGGGCACTGAGGGGCTGTGGGAGAAGCTGGGAGCAGGATCTGGAGTAATAGATGTGGGGAGAGTGCAGGAAGGTGGGTCCTGAGAATGGTAAAGATTTACAAAGTTGCCCTAGTGGGAGGCATAAAGAGAAAACCTTCCAATGTTGTTGAGCACTGCCCTTGGCCAGAGTGAGGGTAGGGTGGGCAACAGAGAATTCTCAGTGACTGCTGGTTCTTCAGATTCCAACAGCTTCCCCTGGCTCCCCCTTCTCCAACTTCCCACCGTGTCCCAAATGTCAGGCCTCAGTGGGAGGTAAGCAGGCTCCAGAGTGCTTTCTTTATTTCCTTTCTACTTATCCTCCCCTCCTGGCAACATTTCACCCTCCTTAGTCCCCTGAGCCCCCTGTCTGTGTCCCCTCTGCCCTGGCTCCCCACTGGCTGCCATTTCGTCTTCACATGCATTGGGGTTCCAGCAGCTTCTGAAATGTCATATATCAGTGGGAGGGGAACAGGCAGTGGGAGACCCAAGGCTGGCTCTTCCTCCCCCATTTCCCCTCCTCCCAAGCTTCCTTTCTTCTCCAGCTTTCTGCTTGTTTACTTTCCCTAGCTCCAAGCCTCTCTTTAAGGCACCTCTCAAATTGTCTGGTTTCTTGAGAGTTCCATTCTATTCATTCTCTCTGTTCTTTCCTCATCCTACATTCTTCCCTGCTTCCACCCCCCAGTGTCTTTTTTTCTAATGGACCTGTCAAATGTCAGCGCCCAGCAGGAGGGATGGATCACTGAGCGGGACCCCCTACTGGTCTTGTTCCTGTTCTCTCTTTACTTATCACTAGCTCTGAAAAGAGAAGAGGGAGGAAACAAATGGAAGGTGGGGAGAAGGGGTTTGCAGAGGTGAGGAAGGAATTTTCATAATATGGCTTTGAGCAAGCTATCTGGGGATGTGGAAAGAGTTTACCGTATTCCTACTGACTTCTTCCACCCACTGGTGTTTGAAGCATAGAAACATGGGGTAAAGGGCTTGGTGACAGAGGGAAGGGGGATGTCTGAGGGTGAGCTGAAAGGAGGTAAGGTGGTATGTTCATTAATACCAAAGGAGGGGTGTGCAGGAGAGGTGATGGGTAAGGCTCCAGATGGAAGACAGAGAAGGAAGTTTAATGAAAGAGGAGAAAAAAGGCACTTGACAGGAAGAGATGCCAGAAAGGAGAAGAAAACGGTAATTAATGATGAAAGTGAGTAATTGAGAAAGGAACTAATTTGTTCGAGAAAGATAAGAGCAGGAATTGCAGACAGGGGAGGGGCCCCAGGAGAGCTTGCCCTCATCTCCTCTTGTCTTTCAGTGTGATCCAGGCCAAGCCACCAAGTACCTATATGAGCTGCTCTACAACGACCCTATCAAGATCATCCTTATGCCTGGCTGCAGCTCTGTCTCCACGCTGGTGGCTGAGGCTGCTAGGATGTGGAACCTCATTGTGGTAAGCAGGGCTATGGGGGTCAGAAGATGGGGTCATTCCCTTTTGAGCTCTACTGAAGGGACGATGGCGATTGTGGGTTTGTATTGAAAAGGAGTGTGGAGGACCTGCTACTAAGATTCAGAGTCCTCTGCAGACCTGAGCTAGGCAGCCTCCTAGCAACAGTGGCCTGACAGTGCTGCAGCTGACCTCCTTCTTCAGAAGGAATTGAAATTAGATCAGTGAAAGAGCATCCCGGTTGTGAGGGGTGTGTGGGCCTTTGAGAATCTCTTTTCCTTAGGCAGACCAGAGGTGGGGAGGTTTGGAGAGAGTAAGGAAGAGAAACCCAAAGGCAGGAAGAGGGTTAAAGGAACTCTTGGCCACTCTTGGTGTCCTCAGTGAACAGACCCTGTTGCACTCACTCTCCCTGCCCCACAGCTTTCCTATGGCTCCAGCTCACCAGCCCTGTCAAACCGGCAGCGTTTCCCCACTTTCTTCCGAACGCACCCATCAGCCACACTCCACAACCCTACCCGCGTGAAACTCTTTGAAAAGTGGGGCTGGAAGAAGATTGCTACCATCCAGCAGACCACTGAGGTCTTCACTTCGGTGAGGAGGGGTTGGGCAAGGGGTAAAGGGACATAAGCTCAAATTCCAGCACCAGGAGATGTGACGTGAGAGTCACTTTTAGGGGCAAGAACTTGATTCTTCATTGAAAGAGAACGCATTCCATGTGGATTAAGTGCAGTTCTTTCTGTAGCCAGGGGAAAGAATGAGTTGAGTTTTTGGGATCCTCTCTGTCTTTATGATTTTATGATTTTTTTCCCCTGTTTGATGCCCTGTTCCCCAGACATATAGACCCAGAATGACTCAGTTCTGTTAAAGTAGGTTCAATCCAAAGTGGGGGCAAGAGATGGGAGCGAAGATGAGATAGGAATCCAGGAAGGCAGCAGATTCCAGAGGCTTTCAAGGGGGATGGTGGGTGGGTGTGAATGGGAACAGAGGGGATGGAGCCAGTGGATTACAGAGGAGAGAGGGAGAGGAAAGAGAGAGAGAGAGAGGAATGAGGGAGAGGAGAGAGAGGGGCAGAAAGGCAGCTGCATGGATCTGGTAGTTGGTACTAAGAGAGAGAAGCCGACAGACAAGGAGAGGTTGAGGGGGAAGAGGGAGATTTGGGGAGGTAGAGAGGAAATACAGGCTCTACATCTGAAGAAGGCAGTCTGCTCCCTCCCTTTTATTCTATTCTTTGGGTCTTCTATCCACTGTGTTCAGTGGCCCTTTAATCCTCCCCCACTTTCACTCTGATTCAGACCATTCTTCTCTGATCCTTTGTCTGTCTGCCCATTTGCCTCTTGAGGTTGACATCATGCTGTCTGTCCCAGTCCTTGCCTTGTCTTTTCCTGGTTCCTTTATGTTTCTTTACCCCATCTTTGCCTTCAGTGGTAGGAGTGGGTGAATGGAGTGGCTTCCCCCACACAGAGCCTCAGCAGGGGCTCACCATTCACCTTCCCACTTGGAATCCACATCCTAAGACCAGATGCCTTCCCGAACTCCTCACTTCAGGGACAGAAGCTGTTGAAGGAAGGTTCAGAATGGCTGCTTCTTTGCTCTATCTGAGTATTGCTCTGAAATCCCCAGTTAACCTCTCTGGTCTTTATTCCCTCATGCACCCCGTGTTTTTCCAACTTGTTTTTTATTCCCACCCAAGACTCTGGACGACCTGGAGGAACGAGTGAAGGAGGCTGGAATTGAGATTACTTTCCGCCAGAGTTTCTTCTCAGATCCAGCTGTGCCCGTCAAAAACCTGAAGGTCAGATGGCTGGGAGTGGTGGGCTCTGTTTACGGAGGGACCAAGCTGGGGGACAGTGACTGGTTGGAGAGGAAAGCCAGGCGGGGGCAGGTTTTGATTCTCTGAGGCAATAGCATCTCCTGGGGAAGTTTAGCTCCATCTTCCAGTTGACGTTTATTCACTATACGTTGAGCGTTACCCTGCACTAAGCACTTTGGGATGGGAAATCAAAGCTGTGAAGACATCTGGCTTAGCCCCTCAGGCATTCCCGGGCATCCCTCAGGAGCTGTTTCTTTCTCTGTTGTAGCGCCAGGATGCCCGAATCATCGTGGGACTTTTCTATGAGACTGAAGCCCGGAAAGTTTTTTGTGAGGTGGAGTTGGATCTGAAGAGGGAGGGGCACTGGGTGGGAGTTTCCCTTGGTTTTCTTGTGGGGCCTCCTCTTGGCATCTGTGCCTGAGTTGATAGCATATGATCTGAGGTGACGATTCATAGGATGTCTCTGTCTGTTGGCTCTGACTGCATCCCTTGTCTGCACACACATGATACTTTCTTCAGATCTCATTTTTCTACTGCTTTGTGTTTCCTGAGAAGCCCATGAATTCCATCTGTCCTGACTGGCTGGAAAAGGCCACTCAGAAATACAGGGGCTGGGGAGAAACTTAGAAGGAAGAATTGTCAGCCTTTCCTACTATCCCCAAGACTTGTAGATTTCTCTTTTTAGTTCTACTGCTCTTCCCTGATTCCCAAGAGGCTAAATAGTATCAAGTGAGATAAGACAAAAACAAACAAATGAGCAAACAAAAACTCAGCCATTCTCCTCTGTATTCAGGTGTACAAGGAGCGTCTCTTTGGGAAGAAGTACGTCTGGTTCCTCATTGGGTGGTATGCTGACAATTGGTTCAAGATCTACGACCCTTCTATCAACTGCACAGTGGATGAGATGACTGAGGCGGTGGAGGGCCACATCACAACTGAGATTGTCATGCTGAATCCTGCCAATACCCGCAGCATTTCCAACATGGTGAGAGTGTGGGGACTTGCAGTCTGGCACCTGGGAGGGTGGAGAGGACTGAGGGGGCCTTGCAGGGGAAAGGGTGGCAGGGAGAGGGTGCGGAATTTGGATATAAAGGAGAAGAGGGGGCTGTGCCCACCCTGAACTTGTCTGCATTATGTTTCCTGTGGATCCTACCTTTGCTCTGACTTCCTTGGGTAGAGAGAGAAAAAAAAAAAAACGATGGAGTTGTATGTTCAGTAGGTTCCTGATGAGTGGAAGGGCTGTTACCATGGAGACGAGGAGCAGTTGGTGAGAAGTCAGGAGGAACCGGCATTAATGATAATATGGATGCTTGTATACTCAAGCACACCTTTACAGGAGCACTGTGTCTGGGCAGAATTGCATTTCATTTTCTTGGTGATTTATGTTAGTGTTTTAGAGTTGCTTAATATTCACTCATGATTGATATGCAATTAGCTTGGATCCTGTTGCTTTTTTTAATGATTCTTTTTTTAGAATTTTATGTGGAGAAGGGGCTTTTGAAATCATTTAGCCCCAGACAGCTGGTTAATGACAGACTTGGAGCGAGGAGGCGCATTCTCTGATTTGAGAGGGCTGGGGCAGCCCTGCAGCTGAGGGGCAGAAGTGAGTGTGGGTGTGGGCGTAGGGGAAGAGGCTTCTTTGTTGCTCAGCACTACATTGTAAAGAGTACAGGAATTTTGGGTAAGCTCGATACGGCCACCTATGTGTCTGCTTATTACACCAAGTGTGTACCTGCTTTGGAGAGCATGTTAGGGGTGAGTTAATGGTTGTAAAGCCCCAAAATAGCTTGATTTAAAAAGTTTTACTAACAGTGGCATTTGTGTGGTACTTAGATTCATGATTTCAGGGATTCTAACAGCAAAACTCTGATGTGGACTTATCTACATTTTGTAGACCAGGAAAATGAGACTCAGAGTGGTTTAATGACTTGTCTCAGGTCATGCAGCTACTCAGCAGTCCAGCTGGAATTGAATCCTAGTTAAATCTGGCTCCAAACTGCTCTGCTCATCACTTCCCATGGAAAACCATGAAGCCTGACTAAAAAGTTTGTACTTTTATCTGCTAACACTGTTTAGCTACTGGCAATTGCTGAGCAAAGGAGAAATAAGATTTAGGAAGTTGACTCTGGTGGTGTGTTGTGATGAAAGATCTGCTGCCACATGGACTCTGATGATACACACTGTTTTGGGACATTCTAAATGGACTCTATGTTTTAAGGTATGTTAGTTGAAAAATACAATGAAAAAATTTTGGAAGATCACTTTCCTGTAGAGTACCCAAGAGGTGAGTCATCCATAAAACCTGGGAAAGTATTGGAACTGGCTACCAAAGCCAGAAAGACTTGTTGGTGCCCTGAGCCCAGGACTTGCCAATCGTTGCTTCTGTCTTATAGCAGGGAGCTAGAGGAGGCTGACAGAAAACAGGGATTTGGCTGGATCTAGTGGCTCACACCTGTAGTCCCCAGCACCTTGGGAGGCCAAGGCAGAGGATCACTGGAGCCCAGGAGTTCAAGACCAGCCTGGGCAATATAGTGAGACCCCCAGCTCTAAACAAAAAGAGAGAGAGAGAGAACAGAGAGATGGTTAGGGACATAGAGGGACACCTGAGCATTGGGGTGGGAAGACTTGGAAGGTCCCTTTCTGACTTTGTGTCTAGAGAAAGATGGTTCCTGCTTTTGAGGCCATAGGGCTTCCAGTGGGACCAGCCTAAAATGCCAGTGGGGAAGCCAATGTTTTCTGAAGAGGATAGAGCAGTCTTAACAATAGGTTAGGGGCAAAAGAGATTATAGATTAATCAAACAGCACAAATAGAAGTGGATCAAAGCAAGGGTTGGACCTAGGGGGCCGGAGCCATGGAGACTTAGAAAAGAAGCAGAATTGCTTTTATTCCCTAAGGATGGCCTTATGTTTAGATCAATAGTTCTCAAACTTTAACATCCGTCAGAACCACCTGGAAAGGTAGTTAGTTCACAGGTTATCAGGCCCTTCCCCTGGAAATTCTGATTCAGTAGATCTGGGCTAGGGCCTGAGAACTGACATTTCTAGCAAGTCCCTGGGGATGCAGATGTACTGGTCTGGGGATCACACCTCGAGAACTATTAGTTAGGGTAGTGGTTTTCAACTACTACCCTAGACTCAGACGCTATACTATCTGGAGGCATTTTTGGTTGTTACAGTTGGGGGTAGGGGATGGGGAGGGATACATGCTCCTGATATCTAATGTGTAGAAGCCAAAGATGATTCTAAATATCCTACAAAGCACAGCCCCTGGCAACAAAGAATTATCTTGCTCAAAATGTTAATAGTGCAGAGAATGAGAAACCCTAGTTTAGAGAAAACATCTTTAGGGGCAATATGTGGAAATGGAGAGTGGGTTAGAGTGGTTTTAGAGAAATGTAGCTGTGGGCTAGAGGGGAATGTGGGAGGTGGCATCCTGGAGATAAGATTGTGAGGAAATCTTGATTGGGGTAGAGATCCCATCAGACCTAGGACCAGTACAAACTAAAAAGCTACCTCAAGATATACATTTTAGCCCACTGTCAAGCATCCATTCTTGAGAGCCAGACAAGGCTGTTAAAAAAATTAGGTATAAATTTGCACTTGGTTGATTAACTAATTGCTGTGGGTTGAGGGGTCTTTATTGTTCAGATTTCCTTAAGCTGCAGAGTAGAGTGTCTCTTTGACAATCTATAACTGTATCTTTACTGACTCAAGGGGGAAGCATTCTACTCTTCTTTACTCTTGGGGTGGCAGGAGCAGTGGTGCCCCCAGTGGTTAGGCGTGTTAGTGGTAGTGACCTGGCGTGAGCACAGGGTCTGACCACCTGAGCAGGGGACCGCATCGTGCTGAGCAGATTAATCCCTTTCTTTCTGGGTGATTTTTTTGATGCCATATTTACCTTGAACTGAAGATTGGATAGACCAATCTTTCAATTTGAAGCCAAAAGACTACTCAAAGTATTAGCCTAGCTGCTATTTGTGCAGGTGCTCTTAGAGAGAGGCAGTCTCATGTACAGAGACTGTGTAGGGTGGCTGGTAAGAGTATGGATTAGCTCTGCTACTCATTAATAGTATAACTTTTTTATAGGCAAGTTATATAACTTTTCTGTGCCTCAGTTTTCTTATCTCTAAAATGGGGATAATAACACCTCATTGGATTGTTTGAGGATTAAATAAGGTAATATAGTTTCCTCAGGAAAATGCTCGATACGTCCTAAGGACTGTATACATGTTAGCCACCATCATCGTTATCATTATCATCATCATCCTGTGTAAGGAGGGATCGATATCAATGAAACATTTCAACAAAAGAGTTAAGAGGACTCAGTGATTTGAAAGGGTCTGATGTAATTCCAAGGCTTCAGTCTCATTTACTGGGAGCTGTTTGGGAGTAAGAAAAAATTGAGCTTCATCTTGGATATTTTGATTTTGAGATTATTCATCATACATTAAAAATGCCTCAGAGTCAGTTAGAAATATGGACTTGAGGCTGGGCGCGGTGGCTCACGCCTATAATCCCAGCACTTTGGGAGGCTGAGGCAGGTGGATCACAAGGCCAGGAGTTCAAGACCAGCCTGGCTAACATGGTGAAACCCCGTCTCTGCTAAAAATACACAAATCAGCTGGGTGTGGTGTCGTGTGCCTGTAATCCCAGCTACTTGGGAGGCTGAGACACAAGAATCGCTTGAACCCAGGAGGCAGAGGTTGCAGTGAGCCAAGATCGCACTACTGCACTCCAGCCTGGCAACAGAGCAAGACTCCATCTCAAAAAAAAAAAAAAAAAAAAGAAAGAAAGAAAGAAAAGAAATATGGACTTGAAATATTGGGCTGAAATTATAGATCTGAGTATCAATAACAAAGATGAGGTTGAGAGTCAAGGAAATTCACGTAGAGAAAATGTAACTTACTTCATACCCAGCATTTTTATACATGTTCTAATTTCATTTCATACTATTTTAGATAGTATTATTCTCATTTTAAAGCTGAATAACCAACTAGTGAGGTTTAATAACTTGTTTGAGATTTCATAGCAGGTAAAATGATTAGAATATGAATTCATCCATTTATCTATCCAACAGACTTTTTTTTTTTTTTTTTTTTTTTTAGTAGAGATGGGGTTTCACCGTGTTAGCCAGGATGGTCTCGATCTCCTGACCTCGTGATCCGCCCGCCTCGGCCTCCCAAAATGCTGGGATTACAGGTGTGAGCCACCGCGCCCAGCCTTTTTTTTTTTTTTTTTTGAGGTAGAGTATCCCTCTGCTGCCCAGGCAGGAGTGCAGTGGTGCAATCGCTGCAGCCTTGACCTCCTGGGCTCAAGTCATCCACCCACCTCAGCCCCTCCCAAGTAAGCTGGGATCACAGACATATGCCACCAAGTCTGGCTAACTTTTTTTTTTTTTCTCGAGATAGAGTCTTGCTCTGTTGCCTAGGCTGGAGCACAATGGTGTGATCTCGGCTCACTGCAACCTCTGCCTCCTGGGTTCCAGTGATTCTCCTGCCTCAGCCTTCTGAATAGCTGGGATTACAGGTGCGTGCCACCATGCCCAGATAAGTTTTTGTATTTTTAGTGGACATGGGGTTTCACCATGTTGGTCAGGTTGGTCTCGAACACCTAACCTCATGATTCACCCTCCTCAGCCTCCTGAAGTGCTGGGATTACAGGCGTGAGCCACTGCTCCAAGCCAAGTCCGGCTAATTTTTTTTTTTTCTGAGATGGAGTCTTGCTCTGTTGCCCAGGCTGGAGTGCAATGGCATGATCTTGGCTCACTGCAACCTCCGCCTCCTGGGTTCAAGCGATTCTCCTGCCTCAGCCTCCTGAGTAGCTGGGATTACGGGAGCCCACCATCACACCCAGCTAATTTTTGTATTTTTTTTTTTGAGACAGAGTTTCATTCTTATTGCCCAGGCTTGAGTGCAATGGCGCGATCTTGGCTCACAGCAACCTCCGCCTCCCAGGTTCAAGCCATTCTCCTGCCTCAGCCTCCGGAGTAGCTGGGATTACAGGCATGCGCCACCACACCCGGCTAATTTTGTATTTTTAGTAGAGACAGGGTTTCTCCATGTTGCTCAGGCTGGTCTCGAACTCCGGACCTCAGGTGATCCACCCGCCTCAGCCTCCCAAAGTGCTGGGATTACAGGCGTGAGCCACCGTGCCCAGCTAATTTTTGTATTTTTCATAGAGACAGGGTTTCACCATGTTGGCCAGGCTGGTCTTGAACTCCTGACCTCATGATCTGCCCGCCTTGACCTCCCAAAGTCCTGAGATTACAGATGTGAGCCTCCGTGCCCAGGCCAAGTCTGGCTAATTTTTAAAAAAATTTTGTAGAGTTGGGTCCTCTCTGTTTTGCCCAGTCTTGTCTCAAACTCCTGGGCTCAAGGAATCCTCCTGCGTTGGCCTCTGAAAATGAAAATGTTGGGATTACAGGCGTGAGCCCCCTGTGCCTGGCTGCCTTTTTTTTTTTTTTTTTTTTTTTTAAAGGCAGAGTCTCACTCCATCGCCCAGGCTGAAGTGCAGTGGCGTGATCTCTGCTCACTGCAACCTCTGCCTCTTGAGTTCAAGCGATTCTTCTACCTCAGCTTCCCAAGTAGCTGGGATTACGGGAGCCCACCAACACACCCAGCTAATTTTTGTATTTTTAGTAGAGACGGGTTTCACCAGGTTGGCCAGGCTGTCTGGAATTCCTGACCTCAGGTGATCCACCCTCCTTGGCCTCCCAAAGAGCTGGGATTACAAGTGTGAGCCACTGTGCCCAGCCTGACTTGTTTTTTATAATGCCTTTTTTTTTTTTTTTTGAGACGGAGTCTTGCTCTGTCGCCCAGGCTGGAGTGTAGTGGCGTCATCTCAGCTCACTGTAACCTCCACCTCCTGGGTTGAAGTGATTTTCTCACCTCAGCCCTCAGCCTCCTGAGTAGTTGGGACTGCAAGTGCACACCACCATGCCCAGCTAATTTTTTGTATTTTAGTAGAGATGGGGTTTCACCATGTTGCCCAGCTGGTCTTTAACTCCTGAGCTCAGGCAGTCTGCTTACCTTGGCCTCCCAAAGTGCTAGGATTAAAGGTGTGAGCCACTGTGCCTGGCCTTTTTTTTTTTTGAGCAGTTTTAGTTTCCCAGCAGAATTGAGATGAAGGTACAGAAACTTCCCATATGCTTCCCACATGCATAGCCTTCTACATTATCGACATCCTCCGCCAGAGTGGTACATTTGTTACAACTGATGAACCTACATTGATACATCATAATCACCCAAAGTCCATAGTTTACATTAGAGTTCACCCTTGGTGTTATATATTCTATGGGTTTGGACAAATGTATAATGAGACGTATCTACTATTAAATACTTTACAGAGTATTTTCACTGGCCTAATCCAATGGACATTTATTGTTACTTCATTATGGTTGGGCACAGTGCTAGATGCTGATGATTAAGAGAGGGCATGGGATTTGGTCTTGTCCTCAAGGGTAGAACCTAGGCCCATTGCATCTTCAAAGCCCAGGCTCCTTCAAAGCCCAGTGTAGTAGCAACTGCTGTACCTTGCCTGTGCCCTTTGCGTATCTCACTCCTCTATCTCTCTAGAAAGTTGGAGAGAAAAGTGAGCAAGGCATGAGGAACAAAGTTATTTATTTATTCTTCATTCATCTATTTATTCTTTCATTACCGTTTGTGTTAAAACATTCCAAACCCAAACAATTATTTGTATGGTCCCCTGTGTATTACTTGTGGTTTCCCAAGAAGTAGTTGCTAAGCTTTTCCTTGTATGGTTTCTGTGAGGTAAGGAAGGAATGATGTGATTTTCTCCAGTATGTAGAATGCAGTTCCAAGAGGTTAAGTAATTTACTTACAGTTATTTAGCCAAACAAGGTTACTGCAAGGTATATGAAGTCAGGTCTCTTGACCCAGTTCATGAGAGAGTTAAAGGAACTATCATTCTTTTTAGCTTTCATGGAAAAAGAAGGTTGAGTGTTGGGAGGGGTGTGGGTAGGATTGATAATGGACTTCAAAAATGTGAAGGGTATTTCTGTAGTTTTCATTCTTCTGAAAGCCTTCTAAGAGGCAGTGAACCAAAAGCACACAAGAATGGCAAGAAGTTAGCATGCTGAAGAAATATCCTCCTGGCTGGCAAGCAGAGTGAGAAGACTGCTATCACCTTTTCTAGAATCTTTTGGAATTGTAGGAGCTGTTAGATCCTGGGTTAACTCTATGAAGAAAGTCAGAAGGATCAGAGAACATCAGTGTCACAGCTCTTCATTGGAATATCCATGTCTCCTCCTTTACTCTGCTCTACCTTCCATCCTTTGCCACTAATTATCCAGAGTGTTTGTCAAAATTCTCTGTTTGCAGTTCTGAGCTAGCAACTGTACACACTAACACCATCAGACACAGCTAATACCTACTCTAGTCTAGTAGCTTCCGATCTAAGGCAGACACATGGGTATAGTTAAAGATTTTGAATGTACATGTGTCCAATCTGACAACAGTAACACAAACCATCCATTCAAGTAGAAGTGATTGAGTCAGAATTGGATTGCACCCCTTCCCCCACACCCACACACATTTCAGTTCTTTCCTCATGATTTTTTCCTCCCAAGACATCCCAGGAATTTGTGGAGAAACTAACCAAGCGACTGAAAAGACACCCTGAGGAGACAGGAGGCTTCCAGGAGGCACCGCTGGCCTATGATGCCATCTGGGCCTTGGCACTGGCCCTGAACAAGACATCTGGAGGAGGCGGCCGTTCTGGTGTGCGCCTGGAGGACTTCAACTACAACAACCAGACCATTACCGACCAAATCTACCGGGCAATGAACTCTTCGTCCTTTGAGGGTGTCTCTGTGAGTTAAAACTTCCTTCATACTCCCCTGTCTTCCCAATCTTGAGAGAGACTCCCAAGAGGCACCTTCTACAAACATGCATTCTCTGTTTTTCTCAGTTACTTCTTTGCAGAATCAGTCTCCGACCAGAGAAGTAGGGACCTTCAAATTAGAAGAACCCATCAAAGACTAGAGGAAAAAAAATGATGTATTCCATTTTTTTAAACCCCTCCCCTCATTTCTTTTCAAACTAGACCAAGTATTCATGAGTCAGATGAGAACTATAGGATTTTGAAAGACAAAACAGTCTGAAAGGTCATCTTCTTATTCCTTTTAAAATGAAAAGATTAGTTTCCAGAGAGATTTGCTGACTTGCTTAGGCCACACAACCAGAAGCCTGCTGGTGTTCTGTCTGGGGATTTTTTCCCATTCAAATCTCATAAGTGAAGCTCCTTCTCCAAAGAATAATGTTTCTAAAATCTAGGGTATGGGCATCTGGGGTATGTCCTATATGCAGGCAAATGCCATAAATAGCATTCATTCAGAGGCTCAATTACATCAAAAACAGAAGGATTTAAAGAGTCCCTGATGTTCTCTTTCACTCTTGCTTTTGTCTCCTTTGCCTTGCTCCACATGTTCCTTCCCTCAGGGCCATGTGGTGTTTGATGCCAGCGGCTCTCGGATGGCATGGACGCTTATCGAGCAGCTTCAGGGTTAGTACAGGGGCAGGAGGGGACCGGACATGGGGGCTAGGCTGGGGCTGGGCTGGGATGCCCCCTGGGGAAGAATGCCAGAGACATCACAAGATTGCCCTGGCACCTCCCAACTTCTGCCCTTCTCTTTTAACTCTGTTCATCAAGCTTGTAAATAATAATAATAATAAGCTTAACTACAAGAAGATTGATGTCTTTGAGTTGCACTGGTTTTGCTCTTGAAAAGAGGTGTGCAGGCTGGGTGTGGTGGCTCACCCCTGTAATCCCAGCACTTTTGGGAGGCCAAGGCAGGCAGATCATGATCATGGTCAGGAGTTTGAGACCAGCCTGACCAACTTGGTGAAACCTGTCTCTACCAAAAATACAAAAAAAAAAAAAAAAATTAGCTGGGTGTGGTGGCAGGTGCCTGTAGTCCCAGCTACTTGGGAGGCTGAGGCAGGAGAATCACTTGAACCCAGGAGGCAGAGGTTGCAGTGAGCTGAGATCACGCCACTGCACTCCAGCCTGGGTGATAGAGTAAGACTCTGTCTCAAAGAAAAAAGAAAAGAAAAGAGACATGCAAATTAAAAACAGCTACTCTCTTTCCCAGTGGCTTCCATTAATTTCAGGAATTTCCCCTTGAGTGGCTTGGGTTGAGAGGTTGATGACCTGTCAGTTAGACTCAAGAAAGCTGAATCTAGGAGAACCGCTATTTTTTTTTTAAGGGAATCTGCCAAATTTCCTTGCTGTGTAAAGCTTCAATGTGTATAGCTTGGCTTTTGTAGATTGTATTTTCTTGAAACTGAGCACACAGGTATTTGCAGAACTTCTAGGAGTTAATTTTTCTGCTCCACTCGGCTCTCAGTCTTTTACGGCATGGCCAAGAGAGCTATTTCTTGGCCTCCTGTGAAAAGTTTCTTTCTTCCTTTCTCCCCACCTCCACATCCTTTCAGCTCCTCTTTGTATCCAGGACAAGAGGAAATGGACTTCAGCCATGGTGAAAGGAGTGTGAGTTGGCTTTTGAAGGAAAAGTTATGGTAACGGAAACAGTTCTAGAACAGAAATCTTAGAAATGACCAAATTTTACTCAATGGCGCTTTAAGAGGCAGATATAACTTATCCAAGGAATTAAAACCCAAGCCAACAGAAGAGAATGTTCTAAAATTAAAATGAAAGCCACTGGGAAAATAGAGCCTGCCCATCATGAGAGGAAGAATAAGCAGAAATATGTGTAAAGCTTTAGAAGCCAAAATCAAAGTGAGAGACATCTCGCCGAGAGAGGTGTGAGGAATGGAATAGGTGGCAGACATGTTGTGGAGCCTCCTCACTGAAGACTTTTAAACATAGATATTCTTATTTATTTGAGTTGTCTTGGGAACCACCTTATATTGCTTTTAAGTCATGTTGCTGATTCAAGAGTCTCGTAGGTCCTTCCAAGCATCCTTAGGGCCTCAGGTGAAAATAAAATCAGATACAACCATGCAAAGCTCTAGGGAAGTGGGAAGTTGAAAATGCCTAGGATCAGCTCTTTGGCTACCTGTGGTCACTCCTTTTATTGTCGTCTGCCCAGGTGGCAGCTACAAGAAGATTGGCTACTATGACAGCACCAAGGATGATCTTTCCTGGTCCAAAACAGATAAATGGATTGGTGAGTGGATCTTGTTTGTATTTTCCTTCAGCCCCTCTCGACAGTCAAGGGAAAAAGTCATGCCTTTGAGTGAGGATGGAATGGTAGAGACTGTTAGGTTGGAATGTGGCTGGCAGCTGGGCCAGGAGAAAGGGTTAAGTGAGAGTGAATACAACCCCTAAGGCGTGGGTAGGGGAGACTGGTGTATTTGGAGAGGGAATAGGCGGTGGTTAGTACTATTTTTAATGGTGCATTGCTGGGGTAACTGGGGATTAGAGGCAGGGGGTGGGCAGAGGGCGGGAAATGGAAACTCCATTTGGGTTTCCCAGATGTCCTGGTGTCTTGATATATTTGAACCAGCTACTTCAAGCCCAGAGCTGTCTCTTTGTCTGTCTCTGTCAGGAAAACGGTTGCTTAAACTATGGAGGAGGAGGGAAAACCTCATGTAATTGTCATCTGCCAAAATGTGCTTTTTATTTTTATATGTATTTTTAAAAATTTTCCTATTTTTATGTAATTTAGAGGTAGACGTGCAGTTGTGTTACATGAATATATTGCATAGTGGTGAAGTCCGGGCGTTTAGTGTGCCTGTCACCCGAACAGTGCACCTTGTACCTAATAGGTAGTATTACATCCCTCAAAATATACTTTTTAAAGAGAGAAAGCAAGCAGTTATTCTTTGTGTACTTGGTCTAAATGATAGGACATAGGAGAGAAACTGAAGGTGGACAAAAGGAAGGACCTACTGATAAAAGAAAGCCTCCTTGAGAATGAAGGGGAGGCCCAACCATTGAAGATGGCTGCCGTCTGCCCTGCCCAGCAGATATCCAGTCATTCCCAGCACTGCTGGAGTTTTGCCCTTTTTTTTTTTTTTTTACAATTCGAATTTAGGACAATGTTCTGGATTGCTATAAATGCTGCATGGCCTAAATTATTCTTTAAAAAAAAAACTAAGCAAATTGAAATTAGTTTTTTTTGGTGAACTCTGACAAATTTGAACTTCCCCCTAATAATAACTGGAAAACATATTTGGGAATATTACCCTGCCAGGATTAAAATTTCAGATTAGCTTTCCTTCTTTTTTTGTTTGTCTTAAGAATAGGTGTCCACACTAGATACTTCAAGGCCTTTTTAGCTTTATGATTCCATAATTGTCATTTAAAACTTTGATTTGGGTTATAAGAAACCTTATAACATTTTTTAATGATCCCCTTCTTTCTCCTCCCATTTTCCTTTGCTGTAAGAAAGACAGAAAAACTTAAAGAACAAACAAAAACAAAGACTACAACTTTGGGGACATGCCTCAGCATTTCCCAACCTATGGATAGACCATTCACTCCATCTTCTCATCTCATTTCTGGTTGCTTCCTAACGGCCCCAGTGGCACTGAGCATTCTGCCTGCAGTAACCTCTGTCCAGTGCAGTTAGGGCCTCATGTCCCCAGCCAATGACTGAATGTCCATCAGCAATCTAGTTCTTTGCCCTTTTCTCCTATCCCGTCTTCATTCCTTTGTCCTCCTTCCCTTCTCTTTTCCCTTCCCCTCTTCCTCCCCTGTGCCATGCAGGAGGGTCCCCCCCAGCTGACCAGACCCTGGTCATCAAGACATTCCGCTTCCTGTCACAGAAACTCTTTATCTCCGTCTCAGTTCTCTCCAGCCTGGGCATTGTCCTAGCTGTTGTCTGTCTGTCCTTTAACATCTACAACTCACATGTCCGGTAAGTTTCTCTTCTGACGTTTTCCTTGTCTGCCTCTCTGAGATACTGATCATGTTCCTGGACAGGATGAGAATAAAACCTGTGTAACTCCCATGGCCATGTATCATGGAGTTTTTCATTCTGACTTGTTGAGAATGAAAACAGGGAAACCAGATATAACCCCCACTCCTACTCCAAAGTAGCTAACGGGAGGAAAAAAGAAAAGAAGAGAAAAAAACAACCTTTGGGGCCAGGTCTCACAGTCTTGGACTCTACATAAATAGCCTGTATTCTAGTGGGGGCCTGTGCTTGGGAAGCCCTCTGCAACTCCATCTTCAGCCCCATGACTGCATTGCTCTGCCTCTCAAGGCTCCACTGTCTTCTCCAATCCTGTCTTCCTTTAGCCCCTGGCCCTGAAATTAGGGTCATGCCATTGCGTGGTATTTGGAGAGCTCAGCCTCCCTGGAGAAGAGGGGTAATTCTCTCTCCCTCTCACCCTCTCCACCTCTGCCCTAGTTATATCCAGAACTCACAGCCCAACCTGAACAACCTGACTGCTGTGGGCTGCTCACTGGCTTTAGCTGCTGTCTTCCCCCTGGGGCTCGATGGTTACCACATTGGGAGGAACCAGTTCCCTTTCGTCTGCCAGGTGAGGAGGTGGTGGGCAAATTCCTTACAGGATGTGACTCTCCCACCCGTCTCAGGAGCACCTTCCATGATTTATGATTCTCTGCCCTTCCTCCTCAGCTTTCCCTGACTCTTGTCCCTGTTCTTTCCTTCTAGCATCACCCCTCTGTTCTCTGTTTGGCTCTGTCCCTTCTTTCTGTGTCTGCAGGCCATTTTCATTCTGTAGTTTACTTGTCAGTTCCAAGGTTGCCATGGCAGGCCTTGCAGAGAAGAGGAGGGAGCCATTGAAGGCAAAGGAAGGGGGTCTGCTCAAAGGTCTCCTGAACAATGGTGGCTTGTCTGTGGTATGGGGGCTGAGAATCAGAACTGTGGACTTTTTTTGGGAGCCTTTGTTGGGTTTGGAAGGATAGAAGCAGAGATGGAAACACAGCAGAGAGTTGGGGGGAAGGGACCACTGCCACACAGGGAGGAGGGGCTCTGGGACTGTTGGTACATGGAAGGTTCTAGTGCTGTGGGGAGAGGCCAGCTTCAACAGTGATAGTTGAGTGGTTCTCTTTTCCACTGGTGGAAACACCCACTCTTTCTCCTGATCTGCCTGCCTGTCCTTGCTCTCTCTTTTTCCTCTGCTCTGTGCTGTCCTGATCATACATCTGTGCACATGGCATTTCCATGCACATGCACATGCAGTTCATCAGGAATCCTCTGTTCCCAGTGAGGCCAGAGTGCAGCTGGAGAAGCAGACAATTAGCTGTAGTGCAATAGGAGAGGTTCCAGAGTAGGGATCTGCACAAAGTGCTTTGGGGGCAAAGAAGGGAACACAGTTCACTGCTGGCGTGATTGGGTGGACCTCACTGAAGAGGTGGCATTTGAATACTGAAGGACAAATAGGATTTTATCAGCTAGAGAAATAGAGGAAGGCTACTTCAGGGGCATAGGGAGCATCGTGTGGCTAGAAAATACATGAAAGAGAGTAGATGAAGAGAAAGTGAGTAGTTCAGCATGGCTGGAGCGTGGGGTAGGTGTGGGGCTGGGAGATGAGCCTAGCTGGACAGGTGGATGGGAGCATGTTGTGAAGGGTCTGTGTCATATCCAGAAGTGTTCAGGCTATAACTTATAGATATTGGGGAGTGGTTGGAGGTTTTTGGCCACTAAAGCCAGGAGGTTTTAGCAAGATCACCCTGGTGGTGTGGAAGTAGAGGGTGGATGGGAGGAATTGTTCAAGGTGGGGAGACTGCTCTCCTCCTGCCGCTCCCCGTCCTGCTCACATTTTCGCATCCTCCCTGTGCCACCATGAGCTCCCTGCCCGTGCTCCCTGCCCACTCTCCCTTAGGGTTCTGCCCATCCTTACTGCAGTCCCGGCTACTACTCTACCCTGTTCTGCCTGTGCCCTCTCTTCTTTTCTAGGCCCGCCTCTGGCTCCTGGGCCTGGGCTTTAGTCTGGGCTACGGTTCCATGTTCACCAAGATTTGGTGGGTCCACACGGTCTTCACAAAGAAGGAAGAAAAGAAGGAGTGGAGGAAGGTGAGCTGCTGCCCAATCCTCAGCCCCCAGATCCTTGGCTCCTGGGGCACAGAGCATTTTCCCCTGACGTGCCTGTTCTCCCCACATATTTATCCAGACTCTGGAACCCTGGAAGCTGTATGCCACAGTGGGCCTGCTGGTGGGCATGGATGTCCTCACTCTCGCCATCTGGCAGATCGTGGACCCTCTGCACCGGACCATTGAGGTACCACTGGAGAGGAGGTGCTATGGTCAGGAGAATGAGCAGGGCTCAGTGGCCATCAGGGCCCTGGGGCTGTGTGTGGTCTTGAGGGATGAAGCTACTTGGAGAGAGTGCCTTCCTCGTATTGGAAGCTCTTCCTTTCCTTCCTAGAAGGAGCCCCTCATAGGCCTCCAGATTCAGCTGAAGAAAGGAAGGGGTGGGGATCTGGGAAGGGTGTGTAGAACTTCCAGGCATCAGGGAAAGTGGGGAACAAGCACCTCCAAGGGTTCAGGAAAACATTCTTAGGCCTAGAATGAGATTTGGCATCAGCATTGAGGGTCTCATAGGAAAACAGTTGGAAGCCAGAGACTGAGAAGCGTTGAGGAGAGGAGGGGAGGCTGGCAACCATCTTTCTTGTGACCTTGTTTCTGCCCTAGACATTTGCCAAGGAGGAACCTAAGGAAGATATTGACGTCTCTATTCTGCCCCAGCTGGAGCATTGCAGCTCCAGGAAGATGAATACATGGCTTGGTGTGTGGGATGTGGGCAAAGGAGGGCAGGGATGCACAAAGGCAGGAGGGAAGGCAGGGGTAGAGGGCTTGGAGGGAGAGGGGTCTTTGGAAGAGGAGGTAGAGAGCTTGTCAACCCAGTTTGAACACCCTACTCTTTGTTATTGCACTAATCTTTTCTGAGAATAGGGGAGAGTTGCTCTTTTGCTATGAGGAGCTTAGGGCCCAAAGCACAGAAAGCACAGATGAAGAACTTGTGTTCAGCAGAGGAACAAGTGGGGGTAACCCCACCTCCAGACTTGACATTATCTTTTAGATCCCCCTTGGCCTTATTAGCATTGTTCGATTCATGGTCACAAATTGCAAACCTACCCTCTGCCTGGAAAGCCACCTTCCCACCTGTAGGGTAAGGGTGAGGCATGTGTGGCCCAGACTGGCCTATTTCTAGATATTCAACAAGCCCTTGCCTGACTGACAGCAGCTTGCCACCATTGCTTTCCTGTGTGAATCCCAGGAAAAAGTGATGTGGTCTGGGCAAGTTGGGTGGACATAAGGGATAGGGGACACAGGGTGAGGTTTGCTAGGTCAGAGGGGTTGGATTGGAGAGGAGGGCCCCCTTTCCATTTCAGAGTAGGTGAAGGGCAGAGAGGGGATGGGGATTGAGTGAGGAGCATTGTGGTCCTTGTTGCTCAAGTGACTCTCTCCTGCCATCCTAGGCATTTTCTATGGTTACAAGGGGCTGCTGCTGCTGCTGGGAATCTTCCTTGCTTATGAGACCAAGAGTGTGTCCACTGAGAAGATCAATGATCACCGGGCTGTGGGCATGGCTATCTACAATGTGGCAGTGAGCACTGACCCCATGGCATTGACCCTGTAGGCTGACCACAGCAGCCCAGATATAGAGGACTAGGAAGAATCAATGCTAGATCTGGGATCGGTTGCTTAGAAGTCTTAAAAAGTTTGTTAATTCTTCAGGTCTATAAAGCACTTTACAGTTTACAAAGCTCACTACAGACATTGTATCATTAATCTTGCAACTACCCAGTGAAGTAGATATTAGTATCCCCACTTTATAGGTGAGGAAACAGAAACACAGAGACGTTAAATTGCTTGTCTGTGGTTAATGGGCTGGACTCTATTGACATTTCCTGCCAGGGACCGACTCTGGAGGACCCGGAATCTGTGCATAGAGATCCTGGGAGTTCCTGCCTTGAGGGGAGGGGTTAACCAAGAGTGAAAACTGGTTTGGGACAGTTTGAGATTTTTCTCAATCTATATTTGAGGATGATCCTGAATTTGGATCCTTTTCAAAGGGAAAGTTCACCAGGAAACTGTCTGCATAGACTCCCTCCCATGGGAAGTAAACTCTGGATCTTGTCTGAGCCTGCAGACCTGAGACTCCCTCAATGTGTCTTTCCCTCTAGGTCCTGTGCCTCATCACTGCTCCTGTCACCATGATTCTGTCCAGCCAGCAGGATGCAGCCTTTGCCTTTGCCTCTCTTGCCATAGTTTTCTCCTCCTATATCACTCTTGTTGTGCTCTTTGTGCCCAAGGTAAGGATCTGGCTTTTCTCCCACCCTCTTTGTTCCCATGTTCCCTCCATCCCTCCTTCCTATATTACTGAGTTCCTCTGCCCTTCCGTTCACCCTCCTCTCACTCCTCCCCTTGTTTTGGGCCCAACTCTTATCAGCATTCCTTCCACCTCCAACCTTCCATCAGCCAGTCACTAGTACAGTCCTTGCTGGGCCACCCCACGCCCAAACATTTGCCCCCAGATGCGCAGGCTGATCACCCGAGGGGAATGGCAGTCGGAGGCGCAGGACACCATGAAGACAGGGTCATCGACCAACAACAACGAGGAGGAGAAGTCCCGGCTGTTGGAGAAGGAGAACCGTGAACTGGAAAAGATCATTGCTGAGGTGCGGGGGTGGGTGTCAGGGTAGGGTGTTGGAGTGGTCCAGGAGGCTTGCGTCTTAGCTTGGGTTGTCTGAAGCCAAGCCTGAGATACAGGGTCAGATGTTCTTGGCTCGTGGAGGGAGGGTCCTAGGAGACAACCTGTAAGGAGTGAATGGAGCAGCATAGGGGAGGGGAAAGGGCTGAGCAAGATTCTATCTCAGGCAAAATCCAGTGTTGGCCTGGCAGGTGGAAGGGCTCTGGAGTGGGAGCTATGTGGTTGACTCAGCCTCCTTAAGGCAAGAGGATGGCTGTTGGCTGTAGGTGACAACTGGAGAGAGGCAGCTGTGAGCCTCTAGTAGTCAACACTCACAGCAGCTGGGTGTAGCATGCAGCCCCAGCATAAAGGACCTGGGCAGGCGTTCACTGTGCCCCAGGCTGTCATTAGGGGCTGGTGCAATGCCAAAGAGAGGGATGTTCCAACTGGGTTGACACATCTCTCTGATTTATTGGAAGCTCTGTGCACTGACTTTTCTCTCCTTCCCCACTTTTTCCTTTTGTTTTTAAATTCTCTCTTATTTCCCTGATCGCATTTTTTCTATCGGTATCCTTATGTTCTCTGGCTTTTCTTGTTCTGTTTTGATTTCTCCTTTTAATTTATTCTGTCCACTTACCCTACGTCCTCCCCCTACATTTTTCTGTGCCCTTCCTCTCTTTCCCTGTGCCCTTCCTCTCTTTCCCTCCTCCCCACCCCTTCATCACCTCCTCTTCTCCTACTATCCCAATTGTGCTTCTTCCTCCAGAAAGAGGAGCGTGTCTCTGAACTGCGCCATCAACTCCAGTCTCGGCAGCAGCTCCGCTCCCGGCGCCACCCACCGACACCCCCAGAACCCTCTGGGGGCCTGCCCAGGGGACCCCCTGAGCCCCCCGACCGGCTTAGCTGTGATGGGAGTCGAGTGCATTTGCTTTATAAGTGAGGGTAGGGTGAGGGAGGACAGGCCAGTAGGGGGAGGGAAAGGGAGAGGGGAAGGGCAGGGGACTCAGGAAGCAGGGGGTCCCCATCCCCAGCTGGGAAGAACATGCTATCCAATCTCATCTCTTGTAAATACATGTCCCCCTGTGAGTTCTGGGCTGATTTGGGTCTCTCATACCTCTGGGAAACAGACCTTTTTCTCTCTTACTGCTTCATGTAATTTTGTATCACCTCTTCACAATTTAGTTCGTACCTGGCTTGAAGCTGCTCACTGCTCACACGCTGCCTCCTCAGCAGCCTCACTGCATCTTTCTCTTCCCATGCAACACCCTCTTCTAGTTACCACGGCAACCCCTGCAGCTCCTCTGCCTTTGTGCTCTGTTCCTGTCCAGCAGGGGTCTCCCAACAAGTGCTCTTTCCACCCCAAAGGGGCCTCTCCTTTTCTCCACTGTCATAATCTCTTTCCATCTTACTTGCCCTTCCATACTTTCTCACATGTGGCTCCCCCTGAATTTTGCTTCCTTTGGGAGCTCATTCTTTTCGCCAAGGCTCACATGCTCCTTGCCTCTGCTCTGTGCACTCACGCTCAGCACACATGCATCCTCCCCTCTCCTGCGTGTGCCCACTGAACATGCTCATGTGTACACACGCTTTTCCCGTATGCTTTCTTCATGTTCAGTCACATGTGCTCTCGGGTGCCCTGCATTCACAGCTACGTGTGCCCCTCTCATGGTCATGGGTCTGCCCTTGAGCGTGTTTGGGTAGGCATGTGCAATTTGTCTAGCATGCTGAGTCATGTCTTTCCTATTTGCACACGTCCATGTTTATCCATGTACTTTCCCTGTGTACCCTCCATGTACCTTGTGTACTTTCTTCCCTTAAATCATGGTATTCTTCTGACAGAGCCATATGTACCCTACCCTGCACATTGTTATGCACTTTTCCCCAATTCATGTTTGGTGGGGCCATCCACACCCTCTCCTTGTCACAGAATCTCCATTTCTGCTCAGATTCCCCCCATCTCCATTGCATTCATGTACTACCCTCAGTCTACACTCACAATCATCTTCTCCCAAGACTGCTCCCTTTTGTTTTGTGTTTTTTTGAGGGGAATTAAGGAAAAATAAGTGGGGGCAGGTTTGGAGAGCTGCTTCCAGTGGATAGTTGATGAGAATCCTGACCAAAGGAAGGCACCCTTGACTGTTGGGATAGACAGATGGACCTATGGGGTGGGAGGTGGTGTCCCTTTCACACTGTGGTGTCTCTTGGGGAAGGATCTCCCCGAATCTCAATAAACCAGTGAACAGTGTGACTCGGCACCTTGCAGTCTTCCTGTGAACAGAATGGGCTTCAATCCAAGAAGGGAGGCTCAGAGGACTCCAAGTTCATGAAAAGGCATTAAAGCGGAGGGTGAAAAGAGGTGTTTTATTGATCCATTGAGGGCTTAGCAGAATGAAGCAGGACATGATTAAGTCTGAGATTAGTGAGTGAGGACACTACTGGTTAAAAGTGTGGGCTCTGGAGTCAGACTGCCAGGGTATCAGATCCAACCACATGCAAACATTTTCTTAGTCTCTATTCCCCATGTCCTCATTTATGAAAATGAGAATAACAGTAATACATTCCTCCATAGGTTGGGTACAAAGACTATTATAAATTGTGCATTCAGGTGCCTAGGTTGGCCCTTGGGCCATGGTATATGTTGCGTGAATGTTAGCCTCTGTCCCTGCTGTTTAATGAGTTCCTTGACAGTAGTGGGCATGTATTGGGAGCCTGGAGCAAGTGCCTAAGCATCCCCTCTAGGGACGCTCCTTCCCAGGAACTAAGAAGAGTAAAAGAATGATGACTGCTAGAAGGTAATGGATGAGATGGCTGCTGAGTGCTTCCAACCTTAAACATCTTTGTTTAGGAACTCTGAGCATCTTGGAAATAATTTGCTATCAAACTGAAAAAAAATCTTGAATGGACAAGGGCAAAAACATTTGCCTGAGACTTTAAACATTTTTTGTGTCATCTTGGAGAGTGCTTTTTTGAAGCTCAAATTTTCTTTTATTTTGGCACTGATTTTTAAAGTGATTCTCAGATTTTTGTAAGACAGCTGCAAGGGTTGGATGGGCCCTGTCATTCACTGACCTGTTAAGAGCCAATTTCTGAACTTCCACTAAAGCATGGGCTGGTTGAATCTTAGACCAGTACTTGAAAAACTTTCCACTGTGATTATCCACCTTGGACCAGTTGGACTTAATTTGAGTCTCTCTTCTTCCCACAGTGAAATATCCGCTAGGAAAAGAGAAGAAGTCTATGGAGTAGATAAGCCTGCAGTTTGGAAAATGAATAGTTGGCATCAGAACAGCAGCAGGAGGCTGGGTGTGGTGGCTCACGCCTGTAATCCCAGCACTTTGGGAGGCTGAGGTGGGTGGATCACGAGGTCAGGAGTTCAAGACCAGCCTGGCCAAGATGGCGAAACCCTGTCTCTACTAAAAATACAAAAATTAGCTGGGCGTGATGGTGGGTGCCTGTAATCTCAGCTACTCGGGAGGCTGAGGCAGATAATTGCTTGAACCCAGGAGATGAAGGTTGCAGTGAGTTTGTGCCACTGCACTCCAGCCTGGGCGACAGAGTGAGACTGTCTCAAAAAAAAAAAAAAAGAAAAAAAAAAAGAAACAACAGTAGCAGGAGCTATAGAACAGCCCTGGGTAGAACCTAAAAGACCCAAATTATCATCTCAAACTTGCATTGCACTTAAGTGGGCTGTAAATTATAAACAAAGGGTGAAAAGTTCTACTGTGGCCAAAGGTAAGCCAGACACTCTGCTAGCAGGAGTGCAGGAGTCGAGAGCCAAACGGTGCGGCTAGCAGAGTGCCCAGTGCAAAGGGGTGGGAAGGAGTGAGATTGAGAATATTAAAAAGGTACTTAGAAGAGAACTTGTAAGATTTTTACTGGCCAAATTTAAAACATGACTGAGCACTATTTTTCATACAGGCCTCCTACTAATAAGAAAAACAATTTTGAGATAACTACTTATTTGAGTTCACAGTTAATGTTCCTGATGATTAAGATCAGTTGCAAATGTTCATCTGTCAATGCTTATCTACAATGAGACTTCATGTATTCATTTCTGAAAGTGTCTTTTCAGGGTGAATGGTGCTATTGATTAGCACTAATACTAATTATTAGTACATTATATATAATTACAATGAGATATACACACACATACACACACACATATATACATATACACACACACAATGATACATAATTAATATATAATTGTACCCCAAGGGGTGCAAAGGAGATGTGTTGCCAGGTGGAGAGGCTACCGCTTGGCAGTTCTGGGAGGACTTGCTCCCTGTGCACTGTGAGGCAGGCTTTGCCTTTCAGACCTGCCTTTGGGTAGGGTTCAGATCACTTTCTAACTCTGGAATGTCCTAGAATGTAGACTGCCTGCAGGCTTCCATGTCCCCTGCTTTTCCCTGACTTAGCCTGTTGCCTCCCTGCCCTCCTGTTGGTTGTCTACCAGTAGAGAGCACTTTGTGCGCACTTGGCTGCTACATTAGTTAGGTGATCTTCAACAAGTGTTGATGGTGAGTTGCTGTGGCAGGTGCTTTTTTTGGCACTGAGGCAAAATGGTGAGTAAGATGGCTTTCAAGCGTTGTACCTTCTCGACGTGGGAAGATGACCAGTGAGCAGAAAAACAAACGTGATCACTTAAGAGAGCAACCAGGAGTGTTGGGCATCTCACAGCCATTAGCTCTGGTGTGAAGGACAAATCTAAAAGCAAGGGGACTGTGTGTTCATTTTCTGGGGTCACAAAACTAAGGAGCAAAGCCAGTATTCAAACTGCATATATTATTATCTATTGCCACAAAACCTGTTACCCTAAATGGCTTCAGACAACAATAATCATTTATTATCCATCATGGTTTTTGTGGGCTAGAAATTCAGATAGGGTACAGTGGGGAGGGTTCACCCTGCTCCACAGCATCTGGAAGATCTGAAGTCTGAGGTTTGTTGTCCAAAAGATCCTTCACTCAGCATCTAAAGGAGGTATTGGCTGTCAGCTGAGACCCCTACACATGACCTTTCCATGTGGCCTGGTATTCCTCATGACCTAATGACAGTTCCAAAGGCAAGTGGAGGCAGTTGTAGAGAGTCAGCCAGGTTTAAGCTGTATTTTTTTTTTCCCTGACAAAGCCTTGAAAGTCACGTAGCATCACTTCTGAGATATTCCACTGGTCCAAGCAGTCACAAGGCCATGCCTAGGTTCAGGAGAGGAAACACTTCACCTGTTGGTGGGATGAGCGTAAGTCACACTGTAAAGAGAACATGTGGAATGGGACAAATGTGTGTTGCAGGCTGCTTTGGTAAAAGCAGCCTGCTGCATCTGGTCTGCCTGCTGCAAAGCCAGTGTTCACTTCACTTTAACATGTTCTTTGTCCGCCCTCTGAGCTGAGCACCCTAGCCTTGTATATTTGCTGTCGTACAGCCTCTTACCAGGCCCTGGATTCCTCTGGATGCTTGGGGGCCAGCTGTGATCTCACCCCAGCAGAAAATGGGAAGTGTTGAAGATGGTCCTGCCAATTGCTCCTCCCACAGTCCTTGGTAGTTTTAGGACACCCTGGATAGGCAACAGTTTGTTTATCCACTCAGGCTTTTGAAACAGATAATTCTGTGACTTTGCCCTTGAGGGAAGCTATCACTTGACATGAAGCTTACCAAAAGGTAGGCTTCATGTTAAGGGAGGCTGTCACTTGAAGGCAGGCAGAAAGGTGCTATTCATTAGCCACCTTATGGTGGGTTCATGTTAAGTGACAGCTTCCCTCAAATGGGATGCTACTCAAAATATTTAACCAGTATGGCATCCACTTACATGGCTCCCTGGAGTGTGGAAGGATATGCTGGAGACTCTCCTGGAAGGTGAGTTCAGCACCAGCAGCAGCTGTGATAGGGACACGTACTGAGGCCTGTGTGGGCTGGACACTGGGACTGATGCAGCAAAGCTAGGGAGACAGATGCAGAAGCAACGTCATGTGGCCTGCAGAGTGCATTCCCCAGGTGTGTGTAGGGAGTGTAGGAAAGAAAATCCTTTTCCTCTTCCTGTCTTAGGTTCTCCAGCCGTGGCTGTGTAAATTAGAGTGGCATAAGACAGATTAATGAGAGAAAAACAAATAGAAGTTTATTAACATTTGCTTCATGCATGTACACATGGGAGTACCCAGTGGTGAACAATGCAAAGGGGCGGTTAGAATTTGGGCTCATGGCTGGGTGTGGTGGCTCATGCCTGTAATGCCAGCACTTTGGGAGGCTGAAGCTGGGGGATCACTTCAGGTCAAGAGTTTGACACCAGCCTGGGCAACATGGTGAAACCCTGTCTCTACTAAAAATACAAAAATTAGCCGGGTGTGGTGGCAGGCACCTGTAATTCCAGCTACTCGGTAGGGTAAGGCAGGAGAATTGCTTGAACCTGGGAGGCGGAGGTTGCAGTGAGCAGAGATCGCGCCATTGCACTCCATCCTGGTTGACAGAGCGAGACTCTGACTCAAAAAAAAAAAAAAAAAGAATTTGGAGCTCATATAGTTGCCCCTTGAACAACTTGGGGTTTAGGGTTACTGACCCCACACACAAACGAAAATCTGCACATAACTGTTGACTCTCTCCAAACTTAGCTACTAATAGCTTACTGTTGACTGAAAGCCTTACTAGTAGTGTAAACAGTTGATCAACACATATTTTGTATGCTATACATCTTATATATGTATTCTTATAATAAAGTAAGCTAGAGAAAAGGAAATGTTATCAAGAAAATTGTAAGGAAAATACATATAGGGTACTATACTGTATTTATTGATGCCTTAAGTTTACATCATTTACATGATGAATCGTCTGTCTGAAATGGCAGCAACCCCAGCAACAGACCTTGATCTATGGTGTATATCAAGCAATTCAACTTCTTATAGAGTCATGACTTTGCTTCTTGGGAGAACTTCCAGCATCACTGTTGGCACTTCATATGGGCCCTATGGTGTTATTTAAGGTTCACAGTATTGCTCTAGACATGATGAAATATATGCAAGAATCTTGAGAGACCACTCTTTACTGCTATACACAATTTACTGGATAGATGAACTGCTCATGCAGAGATGATTAGTGTCACTTGGCATTTTAGGCAGATACTTGCAACAGTTGAGCTCTTTGCAATAGTAAGAGGAGGTGGCTATCAAATTACAGTAGAACAGTATACACTACAGTTAATTTTATGCCGTTATGATTTAATTCTGCATCTTTTGTTAAGCTTTCTCTTGACTTTGAGTGGCTTATGTATGGTCTGTAAGTGTGTGCGTAAGTTTTGATAAATTTTATTTATTTTTTGAGACATGGTCTCACTCTGTTGCCCAGGCTGGAGTGCAGTGGCATGATCTTGGCTCACTTCAGCCTCAACCTCCTAGGCTCAGGTGATCCTCCTACCTCAGCCTCCTGGGTAGCTGGGACTGCAGATACATGCCACCATGCCGGACAAATTTTTTGTATTTTTAGTAGAGATGGGGTTTTACCATATTGCTCGGATTGGTCATGAACTCCTGGACTCAAGCAATCTGCCCACCTAGCCTCCCTAAGTGCCTGGCCAAATTTTTGGTTTTTATAGTAGATTTGTGTATATTTTTTGGTAGTATCTACATATATTTTATACATTTATTTGTTGATGAAAAAAGTAAAATTTGTAAAATATTTGAAGAGGTTTATTCTGAGCCATTTATGAGTGACCATGGCCTGTGACACAGCCTGAGGAGTTCCTGAGAACATGTGCCCAAGGTGGTTGGGTTACAGCTTGGTTTCATACATTTTAGGGAGCCAGAAGTTGCTGACACAGACATAAATCAATACATGTAAGGTATATATTGGTTCAGCTCAGAAAGGCGGGACATCTCGAAGCAAGGGAGCTCACAGGTCATAGGGGGATTCAGATTTTCTGATTGCCAATTGGTTGAAAAAGTTAAGCCCTGCCTAAAGAGTTGAAGTCAGCAGAAAGAAATGCTTGAGTTAAGGGGGCGTGGAGGTGGCGTTGGGGGAGATGTTTGTGGAAGCAAAGATTCTTGTTACGTAGATGAAGCTTCCAGGCCTCAGAAAGAATAGATGGTAAATGTTTCTTATCGCACCTTAAAAGATGTCAGACTCATTAGTAAAATCCCTCCTGGATCAGAAAAAGACCTGGAAGGGGAAGGGGATTCTCTACAAAATGCAAATCCCCATGACAAGAAATGGCTTTGCAGAGTCATTTCAAAATGTCAAATAAGTATATTTTGGGGTAAAATACTTTGATTTCCTTCAGGGCCTGCTATCTGTGGTGTGATGCTGTATCAGAGTCAGGTTGGAGTTGACTATTTTATTGCTACAGAGAATCTTTTGTCAGTCTTATGATCTCTATTGTAATGTTAATGCTGGTCAGTTGTCCCTAAACTCCAGAGGAAGGAGGGTATCATTGGCATGTCTTACCTCTCTTCCTGTCAGTTAGGGGGCTTAGAATTTTATTTTTGGTTTACACATGACATACTTTTCTCTTATTTATTTATTTATTTATTTGAGATGGAGTCTTTGTCGCCCAGGTTGGAGTGCAGTGGCACCATCTCGGCTCACTGCAACCTCCGCCTCCTGAGTTTAAGCGTTTCTCCTGCCTCAGCCTCCCAAGTAGCTGAGATCACAGGTGTGTGCCACCACGCCTGGCTAATTTTTTGTATTTTTTAAGTAGAGACGGGGTTTCACCGTGTTAGCCAGGATGGTCTCGATTGCCTGACCTCGTGATTCACCTGCCTCGGCCTCCCAAAGTGCTGGGATTACAGGCGTGAGCCACCGTGCCCAGCCCTATTTATTTTTTTAATTGAGGCTGGAGTGAGGTGGTGCAATCACAGCTCACTGCAGCCTCAACCACCTGGGCTCAAGAGATCCTCCCACCTCAGCCTCCCTAGTAACTGGGACTACAGGTGCGTGCCACCATGCCCAGTTAATTTTTTTTTTTTTTTGCAGAGATGGGGTTTCCCCATGTTACCCAGGCTGGTCTCCAACTCCTGAGCTCAAGCAATGCATCCATCTTGGCCTTCCAAAGTTCTGAGATTACAGGCATGTGCCACAGCACCTGGCCCATTAATTTTTCCAGTGCTTCTAAGCTATGTGGTTTGTGAGTTTTTTCAAATTGTCACAAATCTCCAAAAATTTTCAATATACTTACTGAAAAAAATCATGTGTGAGTGAATCCATGGAGTTCAAATCGTGTTGTTCTTAGCAACTGTATACCATCTTGGCTAGGTAAAGGAAAAGGAGTTTGGGGCTTCTGGGTGAGTGGTAGATGGGCAGGCAAGTTATGGGAAAGTGACCAGGAAAATATGGAACAAAGTGGTTTAGTAAGGTTTGTTATGTGGATTTAAACTGTCTTCTCCATTAGTAGAGTTGTACCTTTACAGATAGAAAAGGTTTGTTATGTAGATTTAAACTGATGTCTTCTCCATTAGTAAGAGTTGTACCTTTACAGATGTGAATTTATTTACAAAAGGAAAACTTGTATCCTGTTTTACAGCATTCACTAGTCTGATGATTTTCAATTGTTAGCTCAAAATAATCCACATGCTAAAGATAGTTTGAGGTGGCATATACTGGTACCCTTCAAGGGTGAGCGATTAATTCTGCATAGGAGGAGCCAGAAGGTTTCCCCTTCCCTGGGAGATAGAAGGATAAGACAGGGCTGGGCCCTACACATAAGCATCTATTCATGATTCGGTGAGCCCTTCAGACGTTTGAGGTTTATTTTATTTTATTATTATTTTTTTGAGATGGAGTCTCACTCTAACTCCCAGGCTGGAATGCAGTGGCGTGATCTCGGTTCACCGAAACCTCCGCCTCCTGGGTTCAAGTGGTTCTCCTACCTCAGCTTCCCAAGCAAGGGGTTTACAGGCACCTGCCACCAGCCCTGGCTATTATTATTATTATTATTTGTATTTTTAGTAGAGACTTTTTAATTTTTATTAGAGACTTCATATTTTTAGTAGAGACGAGGTTCTTGAATAATGTTCCTTTAAGGCTTCCAACTCACATGTCATGTTAGAATGAATAGTTAAGTGCCTGCCCTCAGGAGACCTAAATCATGTAGGTTTGAAACATCTGTAAGGGATCCTTTTTTTTTTTTTTTTTTCTGGTTGTATTCAATTCAGTAGCTTCTGTATCTTTCTGAAATAATCTCTACCTTCCTGCTTAATCATTTTGCTCCTCGGTGTAACTCCTTCCCCCACATCTCCCTATCTTAATGCACAACATGCTTATTTTTGTCTTTAGCCTTTTCTGTTATAGAACCAAACTGGGGTCTGCTTGCCTGGTGCAATAAAACCAGATACTTACACCAAGGATTGCACCAATAGAAAGAAAGGCATTTGTTGCAGGACACTACGCAGGGAGGACCAGGCAGCTAAACACTCAAGTCCTGGCCTCCCTGATGTCTTGCAGGCAAGGGTATTAGCGGCAGAATGTATCAGAGTTACATGGCATGAAAATATGTTAGCAGCTGCGAATCTGTACAGGTCTGCAGCAACCTCAATTTTTGCCTCCTCAGAAGAAAGAATCTGACTGAGGGGCATAAAGCAGAGTAAGAGACCGAAGCAAATTTTAGAACAGGAGTAAAAGTTTATTAAAAAGCTTTACAGCAGGAACAAAATAAAGTAAAGCCAACTTGGAAGGGGGCCAAGCAGGCAACTTGAGAGATCAAGTGCGTGGTTTTGACCTTGACTTAGGGTTTTATATGTTGGCAGGGTTCCAGGGTCCCTTCTCCCCTGAATCTTCCCTTGGGGTGGGCTGTCTGCATGTACAGTGGCCTGCTAGTGCTTGGGAGGGGCTGCATGCACGGTATGTTTACTGGAGTAGTATGCATGCTGACTTGAGGCATTCTTCCCTTACCAGGGAGTGTTCCTATAAGGTTATAAACCAGTTAAATGCTGTCATTTCTCCCTTAGTGCCCATGCATGAGCCCACTTGCCCAACTCCTGAGATCTTAGTTTCAGGTTTTTCTATTTATTGGGAGACTGTTTTTCCCTGGCACAGGCTGTGACCAATGATTATTTTAGAGAGACAGCTTAACAACCGCCTATCACCTGATGGTTGCCTGACATTCCTGGTGGGGAAGGAGGCCCTTTCCTGCCCTGCTCGTGTCTGACTAACTATTGTAACATGGGTTTTTAAAGGCAGGGGTAAGGCAGTGTGCAGTGGCTCACACCTGTAATCCCAGCACTTTGAGAGGCTGAGGCAGGAAGATCACTTGAACCTAGGAGTTCAAGAACAGCCTGGGCAACAAAGTGAGACCCCAACTCTACAAGAAATAAAAAAATTAGCCAAATATGGTGGCATATGCCTGTACTCCCAGCCACTCAGAAGGCTGAGGTGAGAGGATCCCTTGAATCCAGGAGGTTGAGGCTGCACTGAGCCATGATTATGCCACTGCACTCCAGCCTGGACAACACGGCAAGACCCTGTCTCAAAAAACAGGAAACAAAAAAAGGCAGGGGTAAATTTCAGAAAAGCAGAAGCTACAAGGAACATTGGAAATCAGTGCATAGAGGTTCCACATTTTTTTTTGAGATGGAGTCTTGCTCGGTTGCCCAGGCTGGAGTGCAGCTGTGTGATCTTGGCTCACTGCAAGCTCTGCCTCCCAGGATCATGCCATTCTCCTGCCTCAGCCTCCCGAGTAGCTAGGACTATAGGCACCCACCACCACGCCTGGCTAATTTTTTTTTTTGTATTTTTTGTAGAGATGGGGTTTCACCGTGTTAGCCAGGATGGTCTTGATCTGACCTCATGATCCGCCCACATTGCTTCCCAAAGGGCTGGGATTACAGCCGTGAGCCACCGTGCCCGGCCTCCACATTGGTTTTGATCTAAAAGGGTGGGATATCTTGAATCAGGGACTTACAGGTTATAGGTAGATTCAAAGATTTTTCTGGCCAGGTGTGGGTCATGCTTGTAATCCCAGCACTTTGGGAGGCCAAGGAGAGAGGATCCCTTAAGGCCAAGAGTTTGAGACCAGCCTGGGAAACATAACAAGACTCTGTATCTACACACACAAAATTTTTTTTAATTAGAGGCTGAGGCAGGAGAATTGCTTGAGCCTGGGTGGTTAAGCTGCAGTGAGCTACGACTGCAACTGCATTCTGGCCTAAGTAACAGAGCAAAAGCCTGTCTCAAACAAAAACAAAAAAACCCCAAATTTGCAATTAGTTAAGGAAGAGAACCTTTGTTTAAAAATTTGGGGTCCAGTAGAAAAATGTTAACTGCCTAGAAGGTGTTACTTTCTCCAAGCTCCTCAGGAAGAAACTTAGAACAAAGGATGATGGTTATAAAGTTCAGTCATTTTCCTGTCCTCTGAGGTCTATGCCAGCAGATTCATTTGGTGGGGTTCCGAGTTTCTGAGAGACAACGCAGAGACATATGTTAAGAGGTTATCTTTAGTTTCTATGAGGAAAGCAAACCTATTCAGAACGCTTAACTTCCTTGGCTATTGTCTTAGGCTGCTATTACCTTGTTGCTTTTCAAGTTGCTACTTATTTCTCAGAGCCAGCTAGGTGCCTGGAATTTTCCTTGAAGAAACACAGGATTTTGCTTTATTTCCATGCTTAGGAGTCCCCAAGCCCCTAAAAAGGGGGTCTTTGCATCATCTCATTTCTACACAGTCAGCAAATACTTCTTATTTTGTTTACTCTTCTGTGGTTCAAACCTCTAAGAGGCTTCCATGATCACTGCCGCTCCAAGCACTCACACACATTATTCTTTAATTCTGTATTCCTGTAGACTCTTATTTGCTCCAATTCAGTTGTGTAACTGTCATGTATGCTGGCACTATGTGCCTGACCATCCCTATTTTCACTGGACATTGTGGGGGTTGTGACTGAGTAACTTTATATTGGATTTTCTCACAGAGTATCCAATAGATGACTGTCACATGGAAACAATGAATTTAGGATAAGAGATGTTAGTCCTAAGTCCTATGTTAAACCATTTATTCAACAAAGCAGATTCTTTTAGACTGCTTTATTTAATTCTCTGTTGCATTTCCCCTAGAGTCAGTCTAGAAACGATTTTACTATATACAAACATTATAGCCTCTGGCTGTAGGGAGATGATAAACAGGAGAAAAGTGTAGACATTTCTAGGTGCCAGTAAGAGAAAGCAGATAGAGGGGGTCATGAAAAAAAGGTCTTACTACAGTGATTTGAAAAGTGGAATTAAGCTTAGCCTTACCTGTAGGGCTGAGATTATGATTATGATTATGATTATGATTATTTGAGATAGAGTCTCACTGTGTCGCCCTGGCTGGAGTGCAGTGGCATGATCTCGGCTCACTGCAACCTCCGCCTCCCAGGTTCTCCTGCCTTAGCCTCCTAAGTAGCTGGGATTACAGGAGCACGCCACCACGCCAGGCTAGTTTTTTTTTTGTATTTTTAGTAGAGACAGGGTTTCACCATGTTGGTCAGGCTGGTCTCGAACTCCTGACCTCGTGATCCGCCCGCCTTGGCCTCCTAAAGTGCTGGGATTATAGGTGTGAGCCACTGCGCCTGACTGATTAGGATTATTAAATATAAAATGGGGGCTCTACATTAAGATTAGAATATGCTCTAATAACGAGGTCAAGGAGACAATAAGATTAACACAAGGATGGCTAGGATAAAGATTAGGATTATAATAGAATTAATGTTGCTGTTCTGTGCTGATGCCAGGATAAATGTTGAATCAAAATCATTTTATGTTGGAACTAGAAATAAAACTAAGATTTTCCTTTTTCTTATTTTATCGGCGTGTACTCAAAAGGGAATTTGGTATTGCTGCCCTTGCCAGGGAAAAGCTGGGAGACAGCGTATGTGGGATTGGAACCCCAGAACCTTTTATATATTCTCTTTGGAGAGTAAGATTCATTCATTCATTCATTCATTCACTTATACATTTATAAAACTGGGTGCCAATTTTATGCAAAATTCTGGTCCTTGCCTTCTGAGAGCCTGAAATCTAGTGGGTGAACTAAGCCAGAAACACACACACAATGAACTGTAACACAACTTTTTCCAAAAGTTTTATTGTTCTGTTGTTTCTTATGCTTTGAAGTATTTGAAAAACTCTTATTTTAAGGAAGTGAAACCCCTTCGGCTGGGGGATCATTTAGATATAGTTTTAGATTGAAATGATTTCCTCAAAGCTTGTTGAGAAGTTGAAGCTTTTCACCTGGGCCTGGGAGGCATTATTTTTACCAAAAGGCAAGGTTAAGAGCAAGGAGTCTGGAGCCAGTTTTCCTGGGTTCAAATCCTGTCTTGCACATTTGCAAGTGGTAACATAAATTCTGTGTTTTAGTTTTTACCTCTGAAAAAGGATAATAATATTATCTGCTTCATAGTGTTGTTATAAGGGTTAAATAAGTCAATATGTGTAAATTGCAGGGGGTTCCTGACTTTGACCATTTTTTGACTTTATAATAATGCAAAAGAGATACATTCAGTAGAAACCGTACTTTGAGTACCAATATAACCATTCTGTTTTTTCACTTTTAGTACAGTATTCAGTAAATTACATGAGATATTCAAAACTTTATTATAAAATAGACTTTGTATTGAGGATTTTGCTGAACTGTAGGCTAATGTAAGTGTTCTGAGTATGTTTAAGGTAGGCTAGGCTAAGCTATGATGTTTGGTAGGTTAGGTGTATGAAATGCATATTCAACTTACAATATTTTCAGTATATGATAGGTTTTTTGGGAGGTAACATCATTATAAGTCAAGGAGCATCTGTACTTTAAGTGTTACTTGGGTTAACATAACAATTACATAAATGCTTATAGTATCATAACCATATCTATGTCTTTGAGCAAAGTACAGTTCGGATGACCCTGGAGCAGAAGTCTGGGATGTCACATGCAATACCATATTTGGCCGGTAGATGACACCAAGGTCCACAATGTGCCAGCCTAAACATGAAGATATTTTTGTGTCTTTTTGGCTGCTCCTTTACCTGCGATTTGTGGGCATTGTAAGAGAAGAAATAGGACTGAAGAAGCTAAGTTTCCTTTGTAAGGCTCAAGCCTGAAATACTGGGATATTTGATTATGGTGTGAAAGCAACAGTGTGTATTTGAGAGTTGCCTGACTGAAAATTATGGGGCCTGGATTTTAGTTCTGATGCTGTGGACACTGTGTGTTCTTGGGTGAGTTTCCGAACTTAGCTGGGCTTCAGCTTCCCCTTCTCTTTTGCTGTTATTTGAGGAATAAAATAGAATGAGAATACAAAACAGACATATAGTGAAGTGGGAAAAACATGAGGGAGAAGCAAAGAAGATATGGTAGGAATTAGAATTGGAGGTGAAGGAATAGTGGGGATATGGCAAGGGAGGGGAATTAAAAATGGAAGTGATAAAGGTAGGAACATGACTATGGAGGCGAAGACTTAAAGTAGAAAAAAATATAAAATATACTTGATGCCTATAATTTTTCGCATAAAGATACCTCCCTTTACTACATTTCAGTCGCTGTCTCTTGCACACATACATGCACACACACAGACATGTGGCTTTCATCCATTCCCACAATATAATGGGTGTGAAGAAGGCAGAGGGGCAGGGAACTCAAACTTTCTGATAAAAGCACATAGAATCTCCTCTCTTTTAAAGCACATTAAGCAGCTCTCCCTCAGCTTTGTGTGAGCCCCATTTCCTTCCCCAGCAATCTCCTGAATGCCCTGGTTACCTCCTTGTTCCTCAGGGTGTATATGAGAGGGTTAAGTGAAGGAGTGCCCACTGCATAGAAGAGACCAAAGAACTTGCCCCTCTCTTGGGCATAGGGATTTTTGGGCTGGAGGTAGACAGCAATGACTGAGCTGTAGAAGAGGGTGACCACAGTGAGATGGGAGGAGCAGGTCCCAAAAGCTTTCCTCCGCCCTTTTGCAGAGTTAATCCTCAGCACTGCCCAGGTAATGGCTCCGTAAGAGACAAGGATGAGGCTGAGAGGCACAACCAAGATGAAGACACTGGCAACAGCCACCTGGATCTCATTGTAGGAGGTGTCTTCACAGGAGAGTCGAATTAGAGCTGGGACCTCACAGACAAAATCATCCACCTGCCGATCGGGGCAGAAGGGCAGGTGCAGGGTGGATGGTGTCTGGACCACTGACTCCACTAGCCCAATGACCCAGGCCACAGATGCCAGCTGCCAGCACAGGCGGGGGTGGATGATGGTGGCATAGTGGAGGGGCTGGCAGACAGCCACGTAGCGATCAAAAGCCATCACTGTCAAGAGGATGCACTCAGTTGTCCCCAGGGACAGGAAGATGAAGATCTGGACAGAGCAGTCCAGGAAGCTGATGGTCTTCTTTGGGCCCCAGAGGTTGACCAGCATTTGGGGAACACAACTCGTGGTGAAACAGAGGTCCAAGAAGGAGAGGTTGGAGAGGAAAAAGTACATTGGAGAGTGGAGCTTGGGGTCCAGCACAGACAGCAGGATGATGAGTGTGTTGCCCACTAGGGTTAGGAGGTAGGAAGTGAAGACAACCACGAAGAGAGTCCTTTCCAGCCCTGGGTGTTCAGAGAAGCCCAGAAGGAGGAAGCCCGGTGTGGAGCTTTGGTTAACCATGGCCTGTTCTTGTTTGTACCTGGAGGGATGAGGCTGTCACCCCAGTGTGATTCAACCTGTCTTATCAAAACTCAGCCTGGGTGTTTGTGAGGTCACAGCAGGTAGGTGTTTCTCTTCTGTCTCTGCTCGCCCAGCCTCCCTTTCCAAGGCTCATCACCATCCAGCAGCTCCTTCTCATTCCCTGTTCTTCCTGGTCAAACATTGTCTAGTGAGAGTGAGGAATCCATGAATGTACTGGACAGCAGATGGATACTCACACTGGTGCCTCTGACTTCCTGGGTGAGGGCAAAGGAGGCTGATTAAAATATGCACTAATTCATTAATTCATTCATTCAGGGGAAATTTATTGAGTGCCACTATGTTCTGAATGCTGTTCTAGAGTTGTCTCTTATCTATTGGATGATCTCGTAAGGTATATTGAATGAATTTTCTGATAAGTTGTCTCTGTAGGCTCAATTATTGCTCTATTGGTTGAATGAATTTTATAGAACTCTGTACATTCCATTTATTTTGTATTTTTTCATTTGCAAGTAAGCTTATCAGAGACAGTGTTTTATCTATGAGAGAGATTTTGTTTTGTTTTAAGATATCCCTACTTATAGAGAGATCAGGTTGGTTGCCCTGGCCTTTTTAGCAACCTAAGTTTCTGAACCAACTGACTTTCAGGGAGGGGTGGAAATTGGTCCACATGCTTCGTCCTTGCCATGAGTAGCTTACAAGTAGGAGGCAAGAGTGGCCACAAGCATGTTAAAATCACCAGGGTTCACAGGAACATTATCGAAAGACTCCAAGAATCACTCTCCCTAAATCTTGTAGTCTTTCAGACACCACCAAAAAGAGAGTCCAAAATTTAAAGGCCAGTAACACCAATGTACTGGGTGAATGAGAGTAAAGGTTCTGTAGGATGACTGACCAATTTGGTTGGGTATATCAGGGAAAGCTTCCTAGAGGAGGTGACTGGACTTTTTCCTTAAAATAGAGATGTATTGGGGCATAGAAGGTCAGTTGAGGGCTGGGGGTGGGAGACTGAAGCCACTCTGGCAGGTCAGAGACAAGGACTCAGGGTCTTACAGGACCTTAGGAAGGCCATGAGGGGAGGAGATGAGATGGTGGGCCACACCACAAACGTGCCATGGAGCTCAGAGGATGGCAGGAATGTCTTCCTCTTACAGGGTCCCCATCTTGTATTAAGCTCTATCACATCTCCCTTTTTGCCAGGACTCTCTGCCATTGTCTCTGTCTTCTTCCTGTTTTTCCCATTATTCTTTTCTCACTTAAAATATATTTTTAATTTTCAAAATATTGTTACATATTTAAACAACTAGGTTAAGGAACTGAGCAAATGTTTCAAGTATCTTAGAAGCTTCTGTGTGCCCCTCCCTGATCTCTCAATTTTCTCAATTTGTCACCCCTCAAGATGTCACCACCATTCTAATTTTTTTTTTTTTTTTTTTTTTTAGAGTCACGTTTTATAGCCCAGGCTGGAGTGCAATGGCACGATCTCTGCTCACTGCAACTTCCACCTCCTGGGCTCAAGCTATTCTCCTGCCTCAGCCTCCCAAGTAGCGGGGATTACAGGCACTCAAGACCATGCCTAGCTAATTTTTGTATTTTTAGTAGAGACGGGGTTTCGCCATGTTGGCCAGGCTGGTCTCAGACTCCTGACCTCAGGTGATCTGCCTGCCTCGGCCTCCCAAAGTGCTGGGATTACAGGCATGAGTCACTGTGCCTGGCCTCTAAATTTTTAATTATGCCTTCGCTTTCATTTTTTGAGATGTATTTAACGTACCATAAAATTCGCCCTTTTGAAGTGTGTAATTTAGTGGTTTAAAGTATATTCACAAGTTGTGCAACCAACACCATTTACTTCCAGAATATTTCATTACTCCCAAAAGAAACCTCATGCTCATTGGCTGCCGCCCCCTCCTTTGTTTTCTTTGTAATATAAAATTCTTTGCATGTAACCTTAAACAATAGCCAATTGTTTCTTATTCATCCATCATGTGTCATCCTAATTAATTTTCTACATTTCTAACTTTGTCATTATCTTGGCATTTCATTCCTTTCCTTTCTCTGCTATATCGCTGAATCTCTTTAGATTACACCTTTCTTAGTGACTGTTTCCCTTTCCCTCTTTGTTCTCTGTCTTTTCCACTCTCATTATTTTTCTCCTACTCCTTTTCCTTCTGAAATATTCATGCATTGGTCTACGCATTTATTCATTTCTTGAGCCCCAAAGTGCCAGCATTGTGTTAGGAGCTGGGGAAGGAGTTGGGAGGTCCTTTGAAAGGGGTTTATGATAGTCTAGTGACCATGAGCTACCCTTGCTGTTAGTAGCTACCATCAAAGCATGGTGATAAACAACTCCCTGAACATCTGGTTCTCACAGTGACCCTACAAAGAGATAAAATTATCCCAATTTTACCAAAAAGTGAACAGTCACAGACGGGACAAGAGACTTGTAGAAGGTTACCTAGTCAATAAGTGCTAGGACTAGGATTTTAGAGTAAGTTTAACTCCAAATCTGGTCCTCCAGTGTTGAGGATAGGCGGAAACTGATATCTCACAGCCAAAGAGCAAAGGTTCTGCTTACCTTCAATCAAATAAAAATCTCTTCTGGTACCAGCAATTCCCCATGACAGAGCTCTTAACTGGTGCCCAGCCTCCACTTGTACATCAGGAAGAAACAAAAAAATAAAAAGGAATGGGCATCCTTGAATGGGCAACTGCATCTCTGGTCACAATAGGGATTGCTAATGCTGACCATCTGGCACTTTTCTAAGCACACATGTGTGTGATGAGCTGGAGCTGGCTCAGATTATCTCTTGATTAGTAAATTTTTAGGAATTTTGTGAGACAGTTATTAAACCATCAGTGGCTTGAGACAGCCATGGCAGGAATATTTACACTATGAAAATTGGCAAACACTACAAATTAGGGCTCTCCCCATCTGCCACCAACCAAGTTGTTTATTAAACATTTACTCTACACTGCTGATTATCCTTCACAACTCTACATATTATTCTCTTCCTTCCAATATGAAGAAGTTGAAACAAAGAAATATAAATAACTTTCCCAAGGCAGTATAGTTAGTAAGCACCAGAGCTGATGTTTGAACCCAAATCTGCTAACTGTAGAGGGTTTGCACCAACCAAAGCCCACCAAATCTCTGCAGGGAGGATGAAGCCAAGGTCAGAACTTTGCCATTGAGTTCTTTGCCATCGAGTTCTTTGCCATCGAGTTCTTTGCCATTGAGTTCTTTGCCAACAATTTTCCCCCTCAGTCTAGGCAGAGGTGTGCCTCTGTTTTAGTGGCATTGGAGGTAGAAATGTTGACATGGTATGGTGGTAGAGGGATCCCACGGAGGGAAAGAGCTCATTAATTCTGCTGAGACTCTAGGGTCCATAGCCCACAGACAATTCATTAGCCACAAATTATGGTAAAAGGGGCAGGGGAATATCTATAGGAAATATGCCAACAATAGTCATCACTGTGGTAGGTAAAAGAGGTCACTCATTGCTTCTTTCTGTCAACAGGAAGAAAAAGGACAGTGTCTCTACTCCCACCTCCAGTGAGTCCCGGGCATCCTGATAGTCCTCTCAGGCTTATGATTCATCTATTCAGGACCTCAGTTTTTAAAGTTCTCAGCTTCCTCCTTTTCTATTTAGTTATTCTGAGATGGAGCACACTGTAGTAACAGAGAATTATAAAGCTCTGGGTTTGGAGAGTACTTAGAACATTTAGCCAATCTTCATATAACTGAATCGTTATGCTTCTCTTCCATTAGAAAGGGAGCCTATGAGATCAGCTAATAAATGGCATGTACTAGGTCCATGGATCTACCCAGTAGTCATTTCTGCAGTCTCTAAATCTGTAACTGGAATGCACATGCTTGGCCATTGGCAGAATCCCCACATAGTTCTTTAGTCTGTGGAGTACGAGCTACAGATTGAAGTGGAAGCCCTGAATCTACACCTCTTACCGCAAAGACAGTGAATCAAGAACAATATCACAATTCAAGGGAAATGGCTGATTGAGGCCACCTTTAAAGGGTGCGGGGGTTTGTTTCTATCATATTTCACATTTAATTCACCAGTCTGGTCACTACAAATATCAGATGCAACTTGAAAGATGACCAGACTAGCACAAACTCAACCAAGAAATAGCTGTAATTACAGCTGTTGTGCCTGATTAGCACGGTTTCAGGTCCATGTTATATGGCTATTAATCTGGTGAATAATGTGTTCTTTTCTTTTCTTTTTGAGATGGAATCTCACTGTTGCCCAGGCTGGAGTGCAATGGCACGATCTTGGCTCACTGCAACCTCCCCCTCCCGGGTTCGAGCGATTCTCCTGCCTCAGCCTCCTGAGTAGCTGGGACTACAGGCGAATGCCACCACGCCTGGCTAATTTTTGTATTTTTAGTAGAGACAGGGTTTCACCATATTGATCAGACTGGTCTTTAACTCCTGACCTCGTGATCTGCCTGCCTCAGCCTCCCAAAATGCTGGGATTACAGACGTGAGCCACCGTGCCTGGCTGAATGTGTTCTTTTCAAATACTATCAGGAAGAAAGACCAAAGGCAGTTTGAATTTACAGGTATGGATATAAGTGTACATTTACATTTACATTTTTGCTTCAGTACCATGTTAAAACTCTCCCGTCATAATAGGGTCCAATGGGACATGGATGTGCTGCAAGTCCAGGCAAAAAAGCCTTGATTTACATCATTTGCTGATTTCTGCAGTGTAAATATTCTCACCATGGCCAATTTTAAACTGTCAATATGAGATTACTGAAAATGCAGAGTTGTAGAGAAATGTACGGTAACACACCATTACACAGAATAATTTATAATACAGAGGGTTTTTTTTTGTTTGTTTGTTTTTGAGGAATAAACAAACAGTCTTTATTAGGCTCAGACCAGAAGTCCATGGATCTTGAGGAGACCTGTGTGTATTTGTCAGTTTTCTTTTTCATGTTCTTTTCCACCTATTTCTGTAGCCTCATAAGCTGTTTCTTCTTCTGGTAGTGGATCTTGGCCTTCTCCTTCCTCTTCTTCAGGGTGGCTGTCACTGCCTGGTACTTCCAGCTAACTTCATGAGCTCGGTGTCCAGGCGGACAAATTTTCTTGTAGGCTTCAGACACACAAGCTTGAGGGCAGCAGGAACCACCAAAGCTTTTTCTTGTCATGGGGCGGTGGAATGCCGTCAGACACCTTGAGGTGGTTGAGGGCGGCCTGGCCTTGGTGAGTCTTGTGGGGCAGTGGGCCTTGCACCATCCACCAGAAGATGCGGCTAGGGCCGAGAAATGGCAGGGCCTCCAGAAGGTGTTCATCCGCTTGCGGAGAAAGCCCAGGTACTTCAACTTGTTTCTGTAGAACTTGCCAGAAATGTTGATGCTCTCGCATTGTACGACCACCACCTTCTGGCCTAGAGGGAAGGAAAGGGTTGGGAAGTGCTGAGGGTGCCATCTGAAGGCTCTCCCTCTACCTGTGACTGCACACAGACAGTGATGGGCACAGCAGAGTTCATGTTTAAATTAAAAGATAGCCTAATGGAAAATCACTTCTGAACCAGGAGGACCGCACCCCAGGAATGGGAGTGGCTGGCAGGTCTCAGAGCAGTGCATGGGGTTGGTCTCATGGCCATGAGACTCAAACGAAAGATGGTGATTGTTGCTCATCACCAATCCAGAATATTTTTATTATACAGACAACATTATTTAGTATCTTTATTATATAGACATAACAGATATAAATAACCAGAAGAGTATGGAAAATATGATAAGATAGTTAAATACCTAGAAAATGAAGAGCTTAGGGATTTGTTACCTATGCCTTAAAATAACTTATTTTAAAATAATAGTCATGTTTAACAACTGGTTTGCACAATTTCTGAAAATTTAACAGTTGGCTCCATGAGGCAGTATGAGCTAGCTGCATGCAGCACACCACTGGACGTGGACCTTCTGGACATTCCACAAAACATGACATCGTTCCACTGTATCAACAATATCTTATTAACCAAACAGAATGAGCCATGAGGGCAAGCATATTGGCGGCACTGGTAAGACAAATGCACTCCAGAGAGTGGGAAATACACCCTGTGAAGATTCAGCATCCTCCACATCTTTGAAGTTTTTAGACTTTGTGCCAGGACATCCCTCTAAAGTAAGAACACATTATTGCATTTCACACTTAACACCAGTAATGCAGAATTGGAAAGAGATGCACAGTAACACACTATTACACAGAAGAATTTATAATACAGAGGTGGTTTTTGGAATAAACAGTCTTTATTAGGCTCAGACCAGGAGTCCATAGGTCTTGAGGAGAACTGTGTGTATTTGTCAGTTTTCTTCTCCACGTTCTTTTCTGCCTGTTTCTGTAGCCTCATAGGCTGTTTTCTTCTTCCAGCAGTGAATCTTGGTCTTCTCCTTCCTCTTCTCCAGGGTAGAGAATGCTTGGTTGTCCTATTTAGGATCTAGAGGAAACATATTCCACACTCATGGGAATACCACATGGAACAGTTTACTAGCGACTGACTGAAGCCCAGAGCAGACCTGGGGTCCGCAGCTGTTCTAAGCTGTCATATCAGCCGTGTGGTAGTGCTTTGGTCATGTGACTCAATAGACTCTGGGGCACTAAAGGTATCAGTGGTGGGAAAAGATACAGTGTGGCATTTTGGGCAAGCCTTGAAAGGAAAATCACAACATAGATCCCTGGGGTTCTTCATCAAATCTATGCTGTCTGCTGCAGGAAAGTAAACCCCATTAGGAAACAAGTCCTAGCTTGCTCTTGGGCCTTACTAGAGACAGAGCTCCTGATCATGAGACATCAAATGGCTATTAGGCTACAACTGTCCATCATGAGCTGGGTCCTGTCAAATCAATCAAGTGATGAGGTCTAGTGGTTGCAACATCATCAGTTGTAAGAGAGAAGTCGTATATCCTGCATCAGTCATGGGCAGAACTGGAGGGTAAATGCAAGGTGCTGAAGTGGGGGGCCCAGATTCCCATGTCCTCCACGCTGTGGCCTTGGTACTTCCCAACTTGCTTATACCAGTGGCTCATGGAAGTGTTCTAGTTATTTATTGCTGCATAACAAAGTCTCCCCAAATTTAATGGCTTAAATGAACACAAACCTTATTGTATCTCACATGTTGTGGGCCAAGAATTTGGAACGAAATTGGCTGGGTTTCCTTATATTCCATGTTGCATCAGCTGGGATCCCTTGGAAGTATTCAGCTGGCAGATGGACTGCTCTAGAGGGTCCGAGACAGCTTCACTCACATGCCTGGCACCTTGGTGGGTTCACTGTAAGTTTGGGCTCATTTTCTCTGTCTTCATGCTATCTCAGGGCCTTTCTACATGGTCTGCCCAGCATGATAGACTTTTTACTTGGAAATTCAGGACTCCAGGATAGCAAGGAGGAACAGCCAGTTCTCTTACAGGCTGGCCCCAGAGCTGGCATGGTGTCACTTCTGCCACGCTGTTTTTGTCAAAACAGTCATAGACTAGCACAGATTCAAGGGGAGGGGAAATAGATAGCCCTCCTGATGGGATGATTGTCCGATAGTTTGCAGCCATCTTTAATCTGTCATGGGGGGGAGGGGTACTTTATGATTGGCTAATGGAGGAAAAATAAGATGACCTTGGTTCATGGATGTATCTGCTCAACACATTGGTGTGAGCTGAAAATGGACTGCTGCTGCATTATAGCCACACTCAAGAGTAGTTCTGGAAGACAGTAGAAATTGTAAATCTTCCCAATGGGCAAAGCTTTGAGTAGTGCACCTGATTATCTATTTTGTGTAGAAAGAATAATGGCCTAATGGAAGAATATTTGTGAATACATGGGCAGTGGCAAATGGCTTGGTTGGTTGGTCAAGTGCTTGGAAGGAGGAGGTTTAGAAGATGAAGAACAATGAAATTTGAGGAAGAGGCACTTGGATGGGTTTATGAAAATGGGAAATCTTTTTATTTATGAAATTGGGAAAATTGTGAATATCTTTGTGTTACATGCTAATGCCCACTAGAAAGCATCCACAATAGAAGAGGCTCTAAACCTCTTCTAAACCAAGTAAACAGTGACTATAGGCCAGTTCACACTAAGCAGTCTTCTCCACAGGCCACCCTAGTGCTGGTAAAAATGGACTTATGAAGGCAGTAACTATGGTGGCAGGATGCAGGTCTGTATGTGTTCAACAGCATGGCTTTCACTCACCAACACTGATCTAACTCCTGCAGCTACTGAACGTCCGGCCTGCCAGAAACATGCAAATGCTGCCCTTGATATGGCACTATATCCTGGGCATGAGTTTGCAGGTCCAGGATTCAAATTGGATGCTGCGCAATGCGAAAGGGCTCTGTGTATTTGTAGAAAACCCCCAAACTGACCATTTTCTCCTACTATATTCTCAACATTCAACACTTCTAGTCACCAAAACATGTTCGTTTTTATTTTATTTTATTTTGTTTTGTTTTATTTTATTATTTTTTGAGATGGAAGTCTTGCTCTGTTGCCCAGGTTGGAGTGCAGTAGCGCGATCTCGGCTCACTGCAAGCTCTGCCTCCTGGGTTCATGCCATTCTCCTGCCTCAGCCTCCCGAGTAGCTGGGACTACAGGCATCTGCCACCATGCCTGGCTGATTTTTTGTATTTTTAGTAGAGACGGGGTTTCACCTTGTTAGCCAGGATGGTCTTGATCTCCTGACCTTGTGATCCGCCCGCCTCAGCCTCCCAAAGTGCTGGGATTACAGGGCTGAGCCACCGCGCCCGGCCAACATGTTGGTTTTTCTTCCAGACTGACCAATACATTCTTCAGTGGACACCAACTTGGTGTCCTATAATTCAATTCAATTCACTTCTGACATTATTCACCTGGAGATACAGTGAGATCCCACAGGTTAAAGGATCCCATAAGGCTGCTCCCCACTTCAGATGCCAATCACAAGTCCAAGCTTCTGGAACTTCTGACCTACTGGGAACCCTACTGGGGGTTCCCACAATCCCCTCCTTGGGTTTGATGATTTATTAGAGCAGTTCACAGAATACATGAAAGCTCTTTAGTTCAATTTACCAGTTTATTATAGAGGATATTCCAAAGGATACAAATGAACAACAAAATAGAAGAGATGTACAGGAAAAGGTGTGTGGGAAGGGTTACAGAGCTTCTGGGGCATGCTGCCCTCTCAGCATTTCTGTGTGTGCACCAGCCTGGAAGTTCTCGGAGCTCTGTAGTTCAGGGATTTTTGTGGAGGCTTCATCAAATAGATATAGTTGATTATTAACTCAATGTCTAGCCACTCTCGATTTTCTGGAAGATGAGGGTAGAGCTGAAAGTTTCAAACTTCTAATCATGGCTTGGTCCTTCTAGTCAGAGTCCCCATTCAGGGGTCCCCCAAGGGGTCACCTCATTAGAACAAAAGATGCTCCTGTTACCCAGGAAATTCCAAGGGATTAGAGCTCAATGTTAGGAACTGACATATTTGGTCAAAGACCAAATATTAGAACAAAAGACTCTCCTAGCACCCCTATTGCTCAGGGAATTACAAGGGCCTTAGGAACTCTGTGCCAGGAACTGGGATCAAAGGCCAAATATGTATATCTTATTATATCACAATATTACAGCCTCTTGGCCACCGCATTATTCTGCAGCCCATGACTGCAATAGCTTTTTGGATTATATTCAGATGCTTTTCACATGTGGCGACAGACTCAAGTACCATACTCAGTGATGACCTCAGAATTACATGTCATTTTGCTATGAGTCTCTCCCAAGTTTAGCTTTTTGAAAAATCTTTTGGTTTCATATTATATTATGGGATATATTAGCAATCTCTGATAGTTTTGTGGCATATTAAATATTCATGGATGAAGCAGCTTTGGGAGTCGATAATGGATAGGGTGTTTATAACTAACCTAATTTAAATTTTATTCTAGTTACTACATTACTATGGCTATTTTGCCTGGCAATTAATGAAGAGCACTGGAACTGATTCCTACTGGGGCATAAACTTGTAGCCACTTCTGCCTTGAACCTATTAACTGCTTAAAATTTACACACACACACACACATACACACAATTTATTTTGAATATGTAAAGCACACACAGCTGTAACATTTAAAAGACAGGCAAAAATATAAAGTGAAAAGCAGATTTCTCTTCCATGTCTGCTCTTCTTCAAGTTACTGCTGTCGATGATGTCATAGGGCTCACTAGCTCCAGAAACAGCTTCTTCTGCAGGAACCTGGGAGGCTTCCAAGACACAAAGGGATTTTACTTCCTGCTGAACGACGTTGGTGATGGCTTTCTTGACTCCTCTAGACCTTGCGACCGCCGGATCCCAGTTGGCGTAATCTGCCACAGTCTTTGGAAGGAGCAGGCATCATGGGCCCAGAGCTTGAGCCGATTTCTTCTCCTCGACACGGCGCTCTTGTCTAGGGGAGGCTGGCACAGAGGTCTGCAACCATGGGCCAGCTCTGCCCTGCTCTGCTGTTAGCCCACGCTGGAGGCCAATGCTTTCGTGAGGACGCAGGCCCTAGGATTTCTTTCTGTAAATATAGTCTATCCTCCATTCCCACAGGTTCTGCATCCACAAGCAAACATGAATTGAAAATACAATATTCTCAGGATGCTAAACTCATGGATGTGAGAACCGACTTTTTGTATTTGTGAGTTCTGCAAGGTCAACTTTGGGACTTCAGCATCTGCAGATTTTGGTATCTGAGGGGTGTCCTGGAACTAATTCCCTGGGGATACTGAGGGGTGACTGTAATAAATATTCATTACATACCTACTGTGCCAGATACTATGCCAGGCACTAAGAGTATAAGGATAAGTGAGCCAAAACCCTGACCCTCACTTTCCTTACTGTGTACTTTGAGAGGTAGACAATTAAAAAGATCCTGTTACTTCATGGGAAGTGCTTTTTGTTGGTGGTAGAGAGGAGCTGGAGGGGAGAGTCTTCCAAAGAGAGGGAGGAGCACGTTCAAAGGCTAAAGGTGGCAGAGAGCCTGGTGTGGTTCATACACTTGCACTTGCAGGTAGTTGTGTGAACTTGCAGGATTCTAGGTGGTTGAGCCTTAGGAGGTGGGGATGGTAAAGTCTGGAAAACAGGAACCCGATCTAGGAGTTTGGGCTCCACATTTTATTGCAGGGGGAGTCTATATATTATTTTTGGCTAAGGGAGTAACATATTCAAATTTGTATTTTGGAATGATTACTCTGGTTCAACATGGATAATCAATTTCAATCGGTCAAGACTGGAGGCAAAGAGCCAGTTAGTAGTCATTCATATCATCCACCAAATATTTCTGGTTCCCTTTCCTGCCACATGATTGGTTTATTTCCCCTCACCTTGAAGTTATATGTAGCCATGAGATTTGCTTTGGCAAATGACCAATGAGTCAAAGTGTTATGCCACTTCCGATTGGAAACTAAGTGCTAGTTTGCCATTTGTCATGCTTATTATTTCCTCCTTTCCCAGCACCTAGGAGTGTTTGAGATGGTGGGTGTTCTGTCAGTCCACATCTTTGGGTGAAGATGACAAGGCAGAACCTCTGGTTGGATGACAATGGGCATGCAGCAGCAGCAAGAAATAAACCTATGCTGTTTCAAGTCACTGAGGATTGGTATTGTTATCACAGCATAACCTCTTTCCTGACAGGAAAGAGGAGAGAATGGTTCAGTTCTAAACAGATTTTTCCATCACACTCTCCATTCCATTCATGTGAGGCTTTGAGAATGTAATGAATGTAGATCAACTTGAAAAAGGAAATAAGATTTCATAGAAGTTGGGGCTTACACTGCTGCTCCCTTTTTTCTGAGGCCCTTGCTCCATCCAGGCTCCATTGCAGCACTTTATTACTTACAATTGGATTTCATGTTTGTGCCTGGCTAGTAGAGGTTGGTCAGAATTTCAGAACTGCACTAGAAAATGGATGCAGGACAGCTGTTAGCACTGTGTAGCCACTGAAGAGCAGACTCACAACTCCTCATGGTCACTGTCATGCAGAGGTTGAGAAGAGGTAAAGGAAAATCATCTCCAGGAATGGGAGCACATTTTCCGGATTTGGCAGGAGATTAGTGTTGTGATCCCTGGAAAGCTGGATGATCAGAAAACTTACTAGGACTGGAAAAATAGAGTTTTCTGCCTGATAACCCATTTGGGTATAAATCCTAATGATGTTGGTATATTTATAATGGTGTAAAACCAACAGCATGCACTTGGTAAGTTAACAGATATGCATCTCAATTTAGGTCTAACAAATTGCTGTGTGTTCTTGGGTGAAATTACTAAATTCTCTGAGTGTCAGCTTCCTGTCAGTCCACCTCAAGCAAGTGGAGATGAACCATCCTGATGACAAAGGAAAGAAGACATTGTCAGAATCAGAAGTGGCTGGGTGATGTGGCTCACTCCTATAATCCCAGCACTTTGGGAGGCCGAGGCGGGTGGATCACCTGAGGTCAGGAGTTCGAGACCAGCCTGGCCAACATGGTGAAACCCCGTCTCTACTAAAAATAAAAAATTAGCTGGGCATGGTGGCATGTGCCTGTAGTCCCAGCTACTCAGGAAGCTGGGGCAGAAGAATCACTTGAACCCAGGAGGCGGAGGTTGCAGGGAGCCAAGATCGCACCACTGCACTCCAGCCTGGGCGACAGAGTGAGACTCCATCTCAAAAAAAAAAAAAAAAAAAAAAAAAGAATCACAAGTGATGGTAAAATGATGATGATAATGTAACAATCGGAGAGGGGTTACATAACCAGAAATAGGCATGGTGCATTTGGAGAACCTGTAGGGGAGAAGAGAGTTAAAAACCAAATTGAAAAGAAAATAAAAATATAGAAATTAAATATTAAAAATGGGCAGGTATGATAATCTTTTTGAGCTTTAGATGTTAATTAAAGTTACCTACCTCCTCTTACCTGACTCTTAGTCTTTCTCTGTCTCTTTCTCTCTCTCACACACACTCATATACTGTGACCCATTGTAAACACTGTGATGGGTGTATGAAAGGTAGTATACTTGGGAGCTCAAACTTGTTCACAAAAGGATAAATAATTTCTTCTTAATTTAGAAAGCACATTAAACAGCTCTCCCTCAACTTTGTATGAGCCCCATTTCCTTCGCCAGCAATCTCCTGAATGCCCTGGTTACCTCCTTGTTCCTCAGGGTGTATATGAGAGGGTTAAGTGAAGGAGTGCCCACTGCATAGAAGAGACCAAAGAACTTGCCCCTCTCTTGGGCATAGGGATTTTTGGGCTGGAGGTAGACAGCAATGACTGAGCTGTAGAAGAGGGTGACCACAGTGAGATGGGAGGAGCAGGTCCCAAAAGCTTTCCTCTGCCCTTTTGCAGTTAGTCCTTAGCACTGCCCAGGCAATGGCTCCATAAGAGACAAGGATGAGGCTGAGGCACAGCCAAGATGAAGACACTGGCAACAGCCATCTGGATCTCATTGTAGGAGGTGTCTTCACAGGAGAGTCGAATTAGAGCTGGGACCTCACAGACAAAATCATCCACCTGCTGATGGGGGCAGAAAGGCAGGCGCAGGGTGGATGGTGTCTGGACCACTGACTCTACCAGCCCAATGACCCAGGCCACAGATGCCAGCTGCCAGCACAGGCAGAGGTGGACGATGGTGGCATGGCGCAGGGGCTTGAAGATAGCCATGTAGCGGTCAAAGGCCATCACCGTCAGGAGGATGCACTCAGTGGTCCCCAGGGACAGGAAGATGAAGAACTGGACAGAGCAGCCCAGTAAGATGATGGTCTTCTTTGGCTCCCAGAGGTTGACCAGCATCCCGGGGACACAACTTATGGTGAAACAGAGGTCCAAGAAGGAGAGGTTGGAGAGGAAAAAGTACATTGGAGAGTGGAGCCTGGGGTCCAGCACAGACAGCAGGATGATGAGTCCACCGGGGTTAGGAGGTAGGAAGTGAAGACAACTACAAAGAGAGTCCTTTCCAGTGCTGGGTGTTCAGAGAAGCCCAGAAGGAGAAAGCCTGGTGCGGAGCTTTGGTTAACCATGGCCTGTTCCTCTCTGTATCTGGAAGGATGAGGCTGTCACCCCAGTGTGATTCAACCTGTCTTATTAAAACTCAGCCTGGGTGTTTGTGAGGTCCCAGTAGGTGAGTGTTTCTCTTTTGTCTCTGCTCGCCCAGCGTTCCTTTCCCAGTCTCATCACCATCAAGCAGCTCCTTCTCATCCCCTGTTCCTTCTGATCAAACATTGTCTAGTGGGAGTGAGGAAACCATTAATGTGCTCAACAACGGATTGAGCCTCACACTGGTGCCTCTGACTTCCTGGTTGAATGCAAAACGTCTGATGTGAAGCATAGATCAGCTAACTAGTTAGTTTTTATTAATTTTGCAAAAATTTATTAAGTACCTATTATGTTCTGATCGCTATGCTACTACTGAATTTTCCCTTTGTTATGTGTGGAAGGAAATACAAAGAAATGTGTGTTCAGTGAGTTTCCTAATTGTAAACATTACTAGAGAATTCATCATGTTTTCTAGTGGTGGGCATAAATTTTCTCAAATCATTCACATTCTATCTACTTTACACTTTTGCAAGAGATTTGACCAGTGATAGAAATGTGGACTGTGGAGATTTCTTCTGTATGTGAAATGACTCAACTGCTAGAAAGATCAGTCAGGTGATTTAGGTCTTTCAAAAAAAATTATGACTTATTAAACTAAGAACAAACATTTCTCCTGCAAATGAAATGTCCTGCCTAAATTTTCCATTATGTGTAATATGTAAAAATAAGAAAAAATATAATGTCAGTCAGAAAGATTATTTTCTGGTTCTGTAACTGCAAAAAAATCCTGAAGAATTGATGTTTGGTGATAGAAAGCTGAAATAGATTTCAATATCCTCTCCTTTTCATGTAAGATAAAATATAGTAGTAAAAACATACCATGTTGAGTTTGGGACATGTAAGTAGAATTTTGCTTTTGAAAATGCTCGGTTAATTTTATTCACATGCAATTAAAAACCTTTGATTTTGAAATAAGTTGAAACTTACAGAAAAGTTGCAAGTGTAGTTCCAAGAACTTCTATATAACCTTTATCAAATTCATCAATTTTTAGTATTTTTACTCATTTTCACTATCATTATACTCAATATGTTTATGTATTTTCATTTTTACTCTGAGTCACTTGGGAATAACTTGTGGACATCATGCCTCTTTCTCCTTATTGTCTTAGTATTCATATTCTACAACAAGATGATCTTAATTAACACTGTACAGCAATTAAATTCAATAAACTTAAAATTGATACAGTATTGTTATGTAACACACAGTCCATATTCTTATTTTCTCTATGTCCCAATAATGTTCTTTGTAGGATTTTTTTTTTTCCACGTAGGATCCAGTTGAGAGTCACATATTGTACTTAGATGTCAGGTCTGACTTTATCCTCTTTAGTAGCCTATCCTAAGTCACTGAAGTAAGGAGTCTACTTCAAATTATTGAACAATGTGGTCATTCAAGGCGGAGGAGTTTATGGGCTGGAAGAAAGAGTAGTCTCATGGCTTTGAAAAACCCTGGGTAGTACATTCAACATCAGCAGAAAACTTGAAACATTGCAGGCAAATAAGGCAAAAATATTGGGATAGGGGGCTAGAGGTGAGAGATAGATCTGTAAAGAAAATGAGTAGGGTGGTTGAGTGAATCAGGGAATGCTTCCTGGAGGAGGGGACTGTGTTTTTGAGAAGGTGAAGAGAGTTTCAGCACACAGGGCCAACTCAGATATGGGTGGACGGTGGCAGCCACTCTGGCAGTTGAGAGGCAGGAACTGGGCAAGTTGATGGGGAGGTGGCTGGAGAGGCTATAGGTTGGCAGCATCTACCCATTGCAGTGTCTCTTTTTTGTGTGTTTAAAAGCCCCATCTCATCTTTTTATTTGTTCAACCTGTTTATATTTGTCTCTTTTTTCGTTTTCTTCCTCCTATATTCTTTTTACTCTGAGAAAAATTTTTCCTTTAAAATATTGTTGAATATTTTAACAAAAGATTGTTTAAATCTTAAAAGCCTTCTGCGTGCCCTTCCCTAATCATACCTACTACCTACTCCTGAAGACGCAATGACTATTTCAATTATTACTTTTACAAAATCATTCCTATATTGTCTTATAACATTACACCCTTTGTGTTGGTAAAAAATAGCCAACTCCTCCTTATTTATCTGTCAACCATCATTCTAATACACTTTCTGCATCCCTCTCTTACACTCTTATACTCTTGGTAATTCATTGCTTCACTCTATGTCATTTTTCAGTCTCTTCAATTTACATAGTTCTTTGACTCTCTTTCTGTTCTCTCTTGTTCTGTGTTTCACAACGTGTATTTGTTCTCACTCTCTTTCTTCTGGTCTTTTTAATTTTTCTTGGACACCCACAAAAGTCCAGTACAACTTTACTCTCTTCCTATTAATTTCATATTCACGGATGTATTTATTTCTTTATTAATCACCAAAGACCTAGTTGTGTACTAGGTGCTACAAGGGAATGAAATATCAATTCTTTTCTCCAATTCATTAGTGAAAACCACGTTAATACTTTGGCAGCTACCATCTGTTGTGTGCTTCCTATACACCAGGCACCATGCTAAACATTTCCTGAATACCTGGTTCTCATAACTCTTTGAGGTAGTTAATATCATCTTCCTTTTACAGAAGAAGAAATGGTCGCAGAGAGGTTAAGTAGCTTGCCCAAGGTTACATAGCCGATGAAGACCAGGCCTGGAGTCTGAGTCCTGTTTGATTCCAAATCTGGTGCTCCTGGGGTAGCTCTACCATTGACGATATGTGGACATTAATGGACAGTAGGAGAAGAATAAACTTATAACTTTTCCTCAATCATGTCACAATCTCCCCATTGCCTGCTGCCGGAGCTTCTCCCTGACAACGAGCTTCTAGACTGAGTGAGCCTCTAGTTAATCCTCACAATGAAATCTACAAGCAAAGTCAGGAGTGTTGGGCACCTTTGAAAGGGTGGTGGATTAGGGCTCAGGTAGTAATGTTGACTTCTAATGCTGCTGCCACACCTTTCAAAGCACTTCACAACCTCTGTATGACCTGGATAATATTTCTATATTCTATATTTATTTTCAGATGAAGAAACTAAAACATAGGTTAAATAATTAGCTCAGAATTATATAGCCAGAGCTGAGACTTGAACCCAGGTGGGTTGGCTCTAGAGTCAGGCACAAACTATACCCCACCACCATCCTTCTTCTGGACCTGTAAGGCTGAAGGTTGCTCTTTGCCCACAACCTCTCCTCTTCAACCTAGTAAGTTAACCTCTCTTTTAATGGTAGTGGAGATAGAGAAGAAAACGTGGTGAAGTGATGGAGGGAGGGATCCCGGGACTCCCATCCCATGGAGAGAAATGGCTTGTTAATTCTCCCAAGACTCCAGAGCGTCACAGTTCACAGACAATTAATTAGCCACTGGTGCTAATGATGATTAAGAAAGAAGGAGATGATTCAGAGGAAACGTGCCAGCATTGGTGCTCCCTGTGGTAAGTAAAAAGGTCACTTCTGCTCCTCTGTGTCATTGAGGAGCACAAGGTCATGTTTTCTCATTGCCACCTCTCCTGAGTGTGTCCCATTCTTTTCTCTCAAGTCTCATTTGAACCCATGTAAGACTTCGTTATTTCTTGTTTCTTCTCTACTGGTAGACATTTGGATATAATTTACATGCAATAAAATGCACAGATTTGAAATATACGCTTTGATGAATTTTGATGACTTCAATGAAGAAACAGAAGATTTCCATCATCCTACAAACCTTCCACTTGCCTCTTTCCTTGATACTTAGTTTTGCCTCTTCTAGGACTTCATACAAATGGAATAATATATACTCCTTTGAGTAAGAATTATTTCACTAGGAGTAATTATTTTGCAATTTATTCATGTTGTTTCAAGTATCAGTAGCTCATTTCTGCTTTTAAAATCAACTTCAGTCTGGGCATGGTGGCTCACATCTGTAATCCCAGCACTTTAAGAGGCCAAGAGGAATGGATCACCTGAGCCCAGGAGTTCGAGACCAGTCTGGGCAACATAGCAAGACCTTGTCTCTACGAAAAGTACAAAAACTTAGCCGGGTGTGGTGGCCTTCATCTGTAGTCCCAGCTCCTTGGGGGGCTGAGCTGGGAAGATAACCTGCGCCTAGGAGATTGAGGCTGCAGTGAGCTGTGATCATGCCACTGCACTCTAGCCTGGGTGACAGAGTCAGACCTTGTCTCAAAAAAACATAAAATAAAATAAACTTCTTTAAGGTAGAATTTACATGTAATAAAATGCACACATTTTAAGTATATTGTTCAATATACTTAGGAGGTCAAGGCTGTAGGGAGCCGTGATTGCACCACTGCACTACTGCACTCCAGCCTGGGTGACAGAGTGAGACCCTGTCTCAAAAAAAAAAAAAAAAAAAAAAGCAAGCAAGCAAGCATTCATACATTCATACCACCTGATTTCATTGACATAACTTTCCTACAACAGGAAAAGCAAATCTAGCAAGATAGAAATCAGATGATTGGTTGTCTGGGACAGGGCATAGGATAACTTTCTAGAATAATGAAAATGCATGCTCTATATCTTGAATGGGGTATTGGTTATCCAAGTGTATGCACTTGTCAAAACTTATTGAACAATATACTTAAAATGTGTGCATTTTATTACCCGTAATTTGTACTTCAATGAAATTTACTTTTTTTATGTTTTTTGAGACAAGGTGTTACTTTGTCACCCAGGCTAGAGTGCAGTGGTGTGATCACAGTTCACTGCAGCCTCAACCTCCTGGACTCAACCCCCCAAGTAGCTGGGATTACAGGTGCAGGCCACCACACGCGGCTAAGTTTTGTACTTTTTGTAGAGACAGGGTCTCGCTGTGTTGCCCAGACTGGTCTCGAATTCTTGGGCTCAAGTGATTCACCCACCTTGGACTCCCAAAATGCTAGAATTACAGGCATGAGCCACCATGCCTGGCTTCATGCCTTATTTCTGGCTTCTGTTATCCGGCTTGTTATGGAAATTCATTCATAGTGTTTCATATATTAGTAATTTGCTCCTTTTTATTGCTAATAGTATTTCACTGTATAAATATACCACAGTTTATCCATTCATGCATTGATGGGCATTTGGGTTGTTTCTAGTTTTGGGCTGCTATGAAAGAAGCCACAATTGTTGGGTATGGTGGCTCACACCTGTAATCCCAGAACTTTGGGAGGCCAAGGTGAGAGGATACTTGAGCCCAGGAGTTTGAGACCAGCCTGGGAAACATGATATAACCCTGTCTCTACAAAATAATACAAAATATTGGCTGGGCATCGTGGTGCATCCTGTGGTCTCAGCTACTTGGGGGGCTGAGGTGGGAGGATCACTTGAGCCCAGGAAGTTGAGGCTGCAGTGAGCCATGATCATGCCACTGCACAACAGCCTGGGTCCGAAAAAAAGAAGAAGAAGAAGAAGAAGAAGAAGAAGAAGAAGAAGAAGAAGAAGAAGAAGAAGAAGAAGAGGAAGAGGAAGAGGAAGAGGAAGAGGAAGAGGAAGAAGAAGAAGAAGAAGGAGAGAACAGTTAGTTGTGTTGTATATGGTTCTTCGTTCTTTGTGTGAACACATGTGTTCTTTATTTTGGGTAAATACCTAGAATTGGAATTTCTGAGTCATTTGCTGTCTGTTTATCTTTATAAGAAACTGCTAAACTGCTTTCCAGAGTGATTGTGCCATTTACACTCCCTACAGCGATGAGAGTTCCAGATGTTCCACATCCTTGGTAATACTTGGAATTGTCAGTCTCTTGGTTTTAGGCATTCTATCGGCTGTGAAGTGCTCCCTCAAGTCGTTTCAATTTGCTCTGTGATGGTTAATGGTGTTAAACATCTTATCATGTGCTTTATTGGTCCTTACGTGTCTTTTATTCAAATTATTTTTCATTTTTTTAACTGTGTTGTCTTATTAAAACTGTAGTCATATCTTATAATAATATAAGTAACATAATAAGTGTTTATGGTAATACTTTGAGATTATGCAAGTATCTTTTTCTCATTATAGTTTTGCCTACTAATTTTAGCATCCACAAATGAGTTTTGACTGTAACAATTACTATTGGGCTGTTTGCCTAATGATAACTTTCATCATTTCTCCTATGTTTGTTATTTTGAATTTTGTAAGAGCTGTCCCTCTCCTCCTATTCGTTTACTGTTTATTTTCTTTATTCATATCCAGTAATGACTCCTGGATGTTTATTTTATTCTTTCTTCATTATTCTCATTATTTACTTTGCTGTTTACATTTTCCCAGACTTGGCTATGGGGAAATCCTTTAACGTGATTACTGTGAGTTTTTTGATGTGTCCTCATTTTTTTTTTTAATGACTTCTTTAGTTTCTGGCATCATACAGTATTCCAGGGTTATCTTGTATGTTCTCTTTCCTCTGTCTGGGATCAACCATCTCTCCAAGGACTCCTGGTTCTTTTTACCAGAAAGTTGTATACAGCTGACCCTTGAACAATGCGTGGGTTAGAGGTGCTGACCCCCTCATACATTTGGAAATCCATGAATAACTTTTGACTCCCCTAAACCTTAACTACTAATAAACTACTGTTAACCAGAAGCCTTACTGATCATATATACAGTTGACTGACACATATTTTGTATGTTGTATGTATTATATACTGTATTCTTACAATAACATGAGCCAGAGAAAAGAAAATGTTATTAAGAAAATTATAAGGAAGAGAAAATACACTGACAGTACAATACCGTATTTATCAATTATGTAAGTTTGTGTCATCTGTTAAGAGATGAAACATCAGTCAGAAATGGCAGGAAACTGCAGCAGCAGACCTCAATCTATAGCACATATCAAGCAATTCAACTTTTTCCTGTAATGTTATGGCTTTTCTCTGTCTCCAGGGAAAACTTCCAGCATCACTATATGGGTCTCGTGGTGTTATTCAGGCTTTATGGAATTGCACTAAACACAATTAAAAATACACAAGATCCTGGGTGCGGTGGCTCACACCTGTAATCCCAGCACTTTGGGAGGCCGAGGGGGGTGGATCACTTGAGGTCAGGAGTTCAAGACCAGCCTGGCCGTCTTGAACCAAAGAACGTTTCTACTAAAAATACAAAAATTAGCCAGGCGTGGTGGTGCATGCCTCTAATCCCAGCTACTTGGGAGGCTGAGGCAGGATAATCACTTGAACCCGGGAGGCAGAGGTTGCAGTGAGCTGAGATCGTGCCACTGCACTCCAGCCTGGACGACAGAGCAAAACTCTGTAATAAACAAACAAACAAAACAAAAACAGGACAACCGCAAGAACCGTGAGACATCACTTTTTCCTAAAGAGAAGACGAACTGCTTACGTGGGAATGATTAGTATTACATGACATTTTAATCCCATACTCCCAACACTTGAGCTCACCCAATAGTAACAGGAGGTGGCTACATAATTATTATAGTAGGACAGAATGTACTATGACTAATTTTACGCAGTTATGATTTAATACTGTATTTTATGATTGTTTATAAGTATTTGTGTGTGAGTTTTAATAAATTTTAACTTTTTATAATAGATTTGTGTATATTTTATAGTAAATGATAAAGTATGCTAGTATCTACGTATGTTTTATGCATTTATGATATGCCTAATTGTTTCTTAATTATTTTGATGTTTCTAAGCTATGAAGTTTGCGAGTTTTTTCAAATTGTCACAAAGGTACAAAATTTTCCAGTATATTTACTGAAAAAAATCTACATTCAATGGACCCATGCAGTTCAAACCCTTGTTGTTCAAGGGTCAACGATATTGTATTTTTCAGTTCCAGCATTTCCGTTTGGCTTTTTAAAATGGCAGTTTCTACATCTGTCTCCTAAAATTCATCATTTCTTTACCCATTGTATAAATCTTTCCCTGTGGATTCTTTAAAATACTATAGTGATTTTAAAGTCTCCATCTGATAATTCTAACATTTCGGTGGCGTTTGGGTTTGTTTTTATTGAGGATTTAAAACTGTTTGTCTAATATTTCTGTTTCTTCACATGATTGGTGATTTCCTGTTTTACACTTGATGATGTGAGTAATATGTTACAGAGATTCCGTATTCTATTACCTTTATTTTGTATTCTATTATCTTTCTCTGAAGCGTATTGAATCTTGTTTAATAAGCAGATATATTACCCACTTATCACTTTGAACTTCTGAAAAACTGGCTTTACATTTTGCTGGAATGGATCATTGCAGTTTTTTCTTGGTTCTAGGGTGAACTCCTTAAGCCTTGGTTGTCATTTTGACTTCTAAGATCTGGTCCTTTTGGGGTTTTAGTTAAAGGCACATTATTTTCAGATGTCTGTTAATGGTAGCAGAGCCTAATCCTAAGTGAAATCCGAAATCCCCAGCTGACAGAAGAAAGTACCAAATAACTTGCATGAGAAGTAGGAGGCAGAGCCTGGATTCACTCCAAGATGGCCTGACTGCTACAAAGTGGAAATGCGCCATTGGTCAACACATCATCCTGCACTTATGACTGCATTAGTTATTCCAGTTGCTTTGTCAGGTTGGACAATTTTTGCACATTGACATCAGTCCCATGTACCAGGCTCAGCAATTGTCTCAGAATTACTTTTTTTTTTTCATTAGGTTTGGTCTCTGATTTTAGCTAATTATAAATTTCTTTGCTTTCAGATATATTATGGGCTATATTATCAATGTTTCTAAATTTTGCAGTATGTAAAAGATTAGTGGAAAATAAATTTTGGGGAGTAGGGAAGGCACAGAATCACAATAGTTAACCTACTATAGCCACCAACTTTTCATGGCCCTTTGCCTGTCAACTAGTGATGAGCACTGAAACTGGTTCCCATTGGTGCATAGCTTATAGCCAGCTCCATTCTGAGCTGATGACTACATAAAAAATATACTATCCCTTCCCATACTATCTGCCTATCTGAATGTGTAAAACATGCACAGTTGCAAAACTAAAAAATAGCAACAATAATAAGATAAGACATATAATGAATAGTCCACCTCTCATTCCTGCTCCTCAGGCAACTTGCAGAGTCAGTGTCTCCTCACAGAGATGTTGTATGCACATTTTAGCATATGTGTATATTTTCTTCCTTTCTAAATAACAAAATATTATACATATATTTTGCAACTTGGCTTTTAAATTTAATTCAACTGTATACACCAGCACTTATTTAGTTGTCTATTGATAAGTGTTGTTCCCATTTATTTCAGTTGCAAATAATTATTTCACATGAATATTCTTGTACATGGCTTATTTCACACATATATAAGTGTACTAATAGGGCCAGGCATGGTGGCTCATACCTGTAATGCCAGCACTTTGGGAGGCGGAGGCAGGTGGATCACCTGAGGTCAGGAGTTCGAGACCAGCCTGGCCAGCATGCTGAAACCCCATCTCTACTAAAAATAAAAATAATAAATAAATAAATAAATAAATAATAGCCAGGCATGGTGGCACATGACTGCAATCCCAGCTGCTCAGAAGGCTGAGGGAGGAGAATCGCTTGAACCCAGGAGGCGGAGGTTGCAGTGAGCCGAGATCGCGCCATTGCATTCCAGGCTGGGAGGCAAGAGTGATACTCCTTAAAAAAAAACCAAAAGAGTACTAATAGGATAAGTTCCTAGAAGCAGAATTGCTGAGCTAGAGGATATGAACATGAAAAATTTTAAATTATATTTTTATTATAATCTTTGATACTACAGATAAATAAATGTAACCCATATAGAATAATATAATGTAACACTATAAAACATAATAGTAGCATAATGAACACTCATGGTTTTTACATTTTTATAAGAGCCTTATTGCTTACATATGTAGTTCTAGATACTATATTCAGTTTTGCTTATGTTTAGTTTTCTTTGGAACATTTGTTTTAGATATTATTACTTTACCTTTAATAAAGTGAATATACGGTATGTCTCTCAAGTAATAAATTGCTTTAACAAACATTAAGTTCTCTTGGTTAAACTTCAGATTCTGAATATGGCAAGATGAAATAATATCAGGGCTTCTAATGCCCTCTTACTTCCTGTTGAAAATCTCCTTCAAGTAGCTTATATCAAAATTTAGATTGGGCTTCATTTTTGTTAAAAAGCAGACATATCCTGAATTTCAAGTAGTTCCTCTTTTTCTCTGTCTCACTATGTAGTTTTGCTTGCTTTTGAGATTTATGGAGAGTATCATACTTTATGTAGTCTTACTCATCTTGCTTTTGTTAGATATAGTGAACTCCAAGATTCTCTTCAAAGAATCAGTATGTCAGCATATTCATCTCTCTTATTCTTTGATTCTCCATTTGAAAGTTGAGCTTCCGGGTTCTCTTCACCCTCTTGCCTCTAGTTTCAGTAAACAACTTTCCTGTCAGTTCTAATCAGTGGTTCATATCTGTTCCCCTGGTCACCTGCTCCATCCGGAGTCACCCTCGGCCACCTGCTTTGATTTGAATCATCCTGAGTCACCTGTTCTGTAACCACCCTTCCCACCAAACTACCCACCCTGCCGCTCTGGCTCATACCCCTGCTCTCTTTAAAATAGCCAATCGGAATTAGCTTAGATTGTGTGGTCCAAACCTAGCCAATAGGGGAACGACACAGCAGTAGGGGCTACCTGCCTCAGGAATAAGAACTCCTTCCCCTCCCTTGTCCAGGTATGCTCTTGCCATTACTCCATCCGCGAGTCACACCCTTCTATAGAAGTAAAAATTCCTTGCTGAGAAAATTGAATTTATGTCTGAGTGCTATTTCTTTGCGGCACCGTGGAATAAGCATTTGTTTCTAACACTTTTTTCACTCAATAGGTTCTAGCACATTCATCTGTATCGTTGTTTGCAGGTATGATCCTTCTATTTATGCTGCTTATGATATTCTACAATTTGGTTACCTATTTCCCTAATACTGATAGGCATTTGGTTGTCTTGGTTTGGTATGTCCATGTTAAATTTTGGTAGGTATTTTCAAACTGTTCTTCTTTGAGTGTAGACTTTTTTCCCAATCACCAATAAATGAGAATTCACACTAGCTTTCTGACTGAGTTTGGCTGGCATTTTTGAAGCAATATTCTAGATCTCAAAGCAGTTTAGAAACTCTTTCATGGACGTTATTAAAGAGACTAGAAAGAGACATCTGTTCCAAGTAGGCTTCAAGTAGGCTTCAATGGGGGCAGTGACAGGCCCAAGAGCATCCCGTCAGCCAGGGCCACATTGGGACACTCGTAGATAACCGCCACAATTGTTTTATAACTTGGCAAGATCTTCATACCATCATCTTTTTACTTTTGTTACTGGAAAGGGATCCTGATCCAGCCCCCAAGAGAGCGTTATTGGATCTTGCACAAGAAAGAATTCAGGGTGAATCCATAGAGTAAACTGAAAGCAAGCGTATTAAGAAAGTAAAGGAAAAAAAGAATGGCTACTTTATAGGCAGAGCAGCCCTGAGGGCTGCTGGTTGACTATTTTTATGGTTATTTCTTGATTATATACTAAACAAGGGGTGGCTTATTCACAAGTTTTCCAGGAAAGAAGTGGGAAATTCCTGGAACTGAGGGTTCCTCCTCTTTTTAGACCATATAGAGTAACTTCTGGACATTGCCATGGCATCTGTAAACTGCCATGGCCCTGGTGGGAATATTTTTTAGCATGTTAATGTTTTATTTAGCATATAATGAGCAGTGAGAATGACCAGAAGTCACTTTCGTTGCCATCTTGGTTTTGGTGGGTTTTGGCTGGCTTCTTTACTGCTTCCTTTTATTTGCAAGGTCTTTATAACCTGTACTTTGTGCTGATCTCCTCTCTCATCCTGTGACTTAGAATGCCTAACTTCCTGGGAATGCAGCCTAGTAGATGTCAGCCTTATTTTATCCAGCCCCTATTCAAGATGGAGTTGCTCTGGTTCAAACACCTCTGACACTTTAGCTGGTTTTCTGAATTTGTCAGAGGGGTAAATGATGTAGTTTGGATGTTTGTACTCTCCAGATCTCATGTTGAAATGTGACCCCCAGTGTTGGAAATGGGCCCACTGGGAGATGTTTGGGTTGTGGTGGCAGATCCCTCATGAATGGCCTGGGGCTGTCATCATTGTAATAAATGAGTTCTCACTCCATTAGCTCACAAGAGAGCTGGTTGTTTAAAAGAGCCTGGCATTTTTCCCACTGTCTCTTACCTCCCTCTCTTGCCATGTGACACGCCTGCTCTCCTTCACCTTCCACCATGAGTAAAAGCTTCTTGAGGCCTCACCAGAAGCAGATGCTGGTGCCATTCTTCTTGTATAGTTGGAGGAACTATGAATCAATTAAACTTTTTTTCCTTATAAATTACCCAGCCTCAAGTATTCCTTTATAGTATGCAAAAGAGACTAAAACAGCAAATGAAAAGAGATCTGTCTCTGAAAGAACTTATTGTGACATAGAGAGAGACAGAAAAAAGTCAGATTGACACTGGGTAAGAAGCAAGGAGGTCAGGTCCCAAGATGAAGTCCTGCCTGTGGTCAGCAAAGGGGCACCAAGGTGTCTGGGACAGTCCTGGCCCTGGCTTTGGGCAGGGAGGGAATTTCCCATAGGAAGGGAAGAGTAAAGAGAGAGAGAGAGGTCAGAGTCCAGGTTTGTTGTTCATATGTTTTCTTGAAAGGGCACTATTTCCCAGAATCCAGGTCATCTCTGGGTAGGGAATCCCCTGAATTAGTTTTTTCTGAGAGTATATTAGATTTGCCCTCACAGTAACCCCATGCTGGAAATACCCAACTCCAGTAGCACTTTTCTCCCTGCCTTTTCCCACTGAAATAACATAATAATATAGGAAGAATACAAGGACTATAGAAATACAGATTAGTGTTTGAACCCTTGCTTACCAGCTACTACTAATATGATTGTGGATGAGGTAGCTTCTTACTTATTAACGGGGATACTAATAGAGGTGGTTCCTTACAATGATTCCATTTATGATTTTTTATTTAATAGTGATACCAAAGCAATACATACTCAGTAGAAACCTACTTCAAGTTCCCATAAAATCATCTGCTTTTCACTTTCAGTACAGTATTTAATAACTTAAATGAGATATTTCACACTTCAGTAGTAAATACACTTTTTGATAGATAATTTTGTCCAACTGTATGCTAATGTAAGTGTTCTGAGCATGTTTAAGGCAGGTTAGGTTAAGCTATGATGTTTGGTGGGTTAGGTGTATTAAATGCATTTCTGATTTTGGATATTTTCAGTGTACAATGGGTTTACAGGGATGTAACCCCATCATAAGTGAAGGAGCACCTGTACTTACTTCATTAAAATGCTGAAACAGTAAATAAGGTAACATTTAATAATATGTTGTGCAGTTCTTGAAATTTAAGTACTCACTAAATATTACTTTTCCTTTTTTTGTTATTTACTTACTTTTCATTCATTTATTAATTCATTTGTGCATTTAGTAAACATTTATAAATTATTTCCTGTGCCTGACAGCATGCTGGAACAGTGCTAAAGATACAAGTTAATTAAGACACAATCACGACCCCCAAGATTCCTACTCTTTTCTAAAGATTACAGACAAGCAGACGATGCTATTGTTGAAGAAACATGCTCTGAGAGGCATTTGAAGGAAGTGTAGAGGATAGAAGATGGACACATAACCCAGGATGGGGAGGAAAAGAGTTAGGGAAGGCTTTTTGACGAAGATACTGTTTACACCGTGTGTTCTTATAAATTCATGGTGGTGGGGATAGAGTTGGAGGAAAAGGCATGCTCAGTGGCGTGGAGATGGCAGAGAGATTGGGGTGTTCAAGGATATGCCGGGAATTCAAGGAACGAGAATTCCCATAGACACAGACACAGCTAGACATAGAGATCTGCAGCTTAGGTTTGGGCTGTGGGTATAGATCCAGGTGGCTTCAACAGACAAAGATCTTTCCTGAGAAAAGGGAAAAGTTTTCAACACAGAAAGACCATCCCATGTTTGGAATGAGGTTTGCAAATAGATTGCTTGAGGAGAGAAGTATGTGATCAGAAAGCATTCTTTGTCTATTAACTCCTGCCCAGCAAAAGTGAAAGAAAATTCATGGGAGCATGCAAGAACAAAGAGCACAGCAAAGCTGGACAAACACAGCAATCCAGGCAGGGGATTTCCAACTCAACTCTGGTATATAAGCTGCATGCAAAGTCCTTTTTCTGTCTCTGGTTTCTGGCCCCTTGTCTGCAGAGATGGCTCCCAATGCTTCCTGCCTCTGTGTAAGTTGGGATTTGATAAAGGGGATGGGGAAAGGAAAAGCACTTTCAAGAGTTGGGGAGAGATCTTAGAAACGGGGGCTGGGCAGTACTCAGGGCTCTGGGGGGCTGGGCAGGCATCCTTCAGGAGAAGAGGCTGGCATTGACATTTGCAGAATGGGAAGAGGGATTGTCTGAAGAGAAGCTGGTTATCTGGCTTCTGTGTTCTTTTTTAAATAAAACATTGGACTAGCTACTCTTAGGGATAAATGGTAGAAGAAAAAGTGGGGGTGAGCTTTGTGTTCCACAGGGCTGGTGAGATTTGAAATTATGGTAACATTTTTTAAGGTTCTTAAACTTAATCTTCCCTCTCCTCTCAAAGGAGAGCTTCACAAAACTCATTCATCTGAAGTTGTTAATGATCTAACACATTACATTATATAAGAAAATATGCACTATGGAGAGAACCTGGAATTAAGGCAATGCTTAACACAGATCTTCCAGTGAAGAAATGTCTGCAATATCTAGATTGGGAGAATATTTCTGAATGGAGTATGAGGGAGGTCTTCTCAGGCTTTCAAGTGGCCATTAGGGGTGAGTTTTCCCATCTTTTAGGATTTTCCAGCTATTGAAGTAAGACTTAGATATAGTCCCTACCTTCTGTGAGTGAGGCCCTAGTCTTATCAAAGGAGATCACATTCTATATTAGTGTTACCAGGGGGTCTTTGCTCCCAGAGCTCTCAAGATGGTGGTGGGCTGCTTCCAAAATGGCCGCAGGCCGCTTCCAAGATGGTGGCAAGCCTCGTGTTCTCTGACCTGGGGTTCTTGGCCTCATGGATTCCAAGGAATGGAATCTTGGGTCATGTGGTGGTTGTTACAGCTCTATTAGAAGCCATGGGTCACGGAAGAGAACCGTGGACCCAGTGACTAGTGTTCAGCTCGATTAGGAAGAACCTGGGCACTTAGCCGTGCAGAACAATGGTACGCCTTTAGCCCAATCAGGAGCGGCAATGGGCGCCTCACTGGTTCAGAAGCACAGCGGACACCCTGCCAGATCCGAGGGATGGAAGTCAGCCGCGGGTCTGCGACGGTGGCAAACGGCAGTGGTGGATGGCAAGCGAAAGCTCACCTCGAGCCGTAAGAAACATAGACCAGAAGAGTGCAGTTGCAAGATTTAGTAGAGTGAAGACAGAGCTCCCATACAAAGGGAGGGGACCCAAAGAGGGTAGCGTTGCTGGCTCGAATGCCTGTGTTTATATCCCGATCATTGTCCCTCCCGCTGTGATCTCAGGCAATAGATGATTGGCTATATCTTTACCTCCTGTTTTTGCCTAATTAGCATTTTAGTGAGCTCTCTTTACTACCTGATTGGTCAGGTGTGAGCTAAGTTGCAAGCCCCGTGTTTAAAGGTGGATGCAGTCACCTCCCCAGCTAGGCTTAGGGATTCTTAGTCGGCCTAGGAAATCCAGCTAGTCCTGTCTCTCATTAGATAGAAATAAAAACACAAGAAATATAAATTAACAAGAAACACTGAACATAGTGTCACGGTAGTATGTGAGTTATTATTATAAAGCAGTGGGATATTTGAAAAGAAACTAACAGTTCAGTGATTATGTGTCCTACCCAGGATTTCCTTCTGAAGTATTGACAGAGGGTATCCTATGGCTATGAGTATCTTCATGAGGCTGTCATATTTTGGAAATTCTCTTTGAGAGTTGTTTTTAGAGTCTGATGTACATCTTTTGAAGCCTCGTATTTACTTGTTGACATTTGACAAACTTTATCTGGATAGGAGAGGCAGGTAAATAAGGTGGAAAATCACTAATTACATTTTGAGATGGATAAAGGTATGTTTTTTACATCCATTGAAATGCACAGAAAAACGAAATGTAAAGATTGTCAACTAAAAAAAAATCACACAATTCATAAATTTAGAAGGGGAGTTTATTTCTTATGAAAGGTTATAGTCTGCAAGGTAGCCATTCTGACAGGCTGGGAAGTTTTGCTTCTGATTGAAAACCAAAAGCAAGCACTTTGCAGGAGGAAAGGTGACACAGGAATTTATGCTGAAGGGGTTTGCTAAGTATACATATCCAATAGGTTATAGCAGAGGCAATGAATATTCATGGAGGGGGTCCTAATGCATGCATATTGAATAAGCTTGCATGTTACATACCACCCATGGTCACTCTGAAGTGGAGACTTAACATTTAATTGCATTACAGTTAGGCCTTATACATGAAAAGGTGAAGCAGGGACACAAAGGCATTCAAATGCACAGCTTCTGTAAACTAGCCAGAACCAGTCCATGGTCAGTGGTCTCTTATCAGGAGAAAATTACTGAAATCAGTCTTTTGTCCAATTAAAACTGTAGTTATGGCTTGTGGAACACGGGGTCAGTTAGCCTGTGTTCCCCAACACAGGGTGAGCTGTAATTGTTTTAATATTGTTCCTGTCAAGGCCAGTGCTTGTTTAGCTGCTAGAGAAAAAAGAAAAAACTTTGTGGCAGAACATAGTTTATTCTTTAAGTGTAAGGGATGCATGACTTAACTTTTGCCTGTTATAGCCCTCGGTCTTGTTTATAATTTGCTATCTTATTGCCACAAAGAATCCATTCTCTCAGTCTTATAATCTCTAACTTTGCTGGTCAGTTGTGTCTAAACTGCAAAAGGGAGAAGATACAATGAGGCATATCCAACCTCCTGTTCCATCATGACTGAATGTTTTATTTATTTATATTTTTGAGACAGAGTCTCACTCTGTTGCCCTGGCTGGAGTGCAGTAGTGCCATCTCCACTCACTGCAACCTCTGCCTCCTGGATTCAAATGATTCTCCTGCCTCAGCCTCCTGAGTAGCTGGGATTACAGGGACTTGCCACCACGCCTGGCTAATTTTTGTATTTTTAGTAGAGACAGAGTTTCACCAAGTTCACCAGGCTGGTCTCGAACTCCCAGCATCAATTGATCAGCCTGCCTCAGCTTCCCAAAGTTCTGGGATTACAGGTGTAAGCCACCACCCTTGGCCCAATGACTAAGTTTTTAAAGTTTCTCTAGGGTCCCCCTGAGCAAAAGAGCGTCCGTTCAGTTGGTTGGGGGCTCAGGATTTTATTTTCCATTCTCAAGATCGAAAAAAAGGTGTGATTATAAAGGAATGGGACAAATTATCTTATTTGTGTTGTAACTTGGTAATTCCAAAAAAGAAGTTCCAAGAAAGAGAGGGACACTGGCTACTGAATAGGAGCTAGAGGACCAGATAGATAGTGGAAGAGGGGGAGCCATTGTGGTGGGGAGTAGAAGTGTAAAGGAGGAAGGCATCCTAGGTAACTGTCTTGTGGCTTTCACTTCCCAGGTGCATGTCCGTTCCGAGGAATGGGATTTAATGACCTTTGATGCCAACCCATATGACAGCGTGAAAAAAATCAAAGAACATGTCCGGTCTAAGACCAAGGTTCCTGTGCAGGACCAGGTTCTTTTGCTGGGCTCCAAGATCTTAAAGCCACGGAGAAGCCTCTCATCTTATGGCACTGACAAAGAGAAGACCATCCACCTTACCCTGAAAGTGGTGAAGCCCAGTGATGAGGAGCTGCCCTTGTTTCTTGTGGAGTCAGGTGATGAGGCAAAGAGGCACCTCCTCCAGGTGCGAAGGTCCAGCTCAGTGGCACAAGTGAAAGCAATGATCGAGACTAAGACGGGTATAATCCCTGAGACCCAGATTGTGACTTGCAATGGAAAGAGACTGGAAGATGGGAAGATGATGGCAGATTACGGCATCAGAAAGGGCAACTTACTCTTCCTGGCATCTTATTGTATTGGAGGGTGACCACCCTGGGGATGGGGTGTTGGCAGGGGTCAAAAAGCTTATTTCTTTTAATCTCTTACTCAACGAACACATCTTCTGATGATTTCCCAAAATTAATGAGAATGAGATGAGTAGAGTAAGATTTGGGTGGGATGGGTAGGATGAAGTATATTGCCCAACTCTATGTTTCTTTGATTCTAACACAATTAATTAAGTGACATGATTTTTACTAATGTATTACTGAGACTAGTAAATAAATTTTTAAGGCAAAATAGAGCATTCAAAGCCAGCTTGGAATTTAATTCTGTCTTGATACCTTGTTATTTATGCAAAAACTCCTATCTCCTTTCCTTTATGACAAGAGAGTAAGTTTTAGGTTGGGATCCATGTTCTACTGATTTCTGTATTTCTGTCTTTGTTAAGTCCAGTGCTTTATTTATATCACTCAATAATGGTTGAACCAAATTGAATTTCTACTTATAGAGCATAGTGAAATGATATTTTATAAAATGAATTAGTTGCTCTGACATGATCACAATCAAATTACTAAACATTTTAGAAACTAAATTAAACTCCTTCCCCCCTCTTCTCCTTTAAAGCTATTTGTATGAAATGAAGTCTGGCACCATGCCCCCTTTTATTCTCTATGTCTCACACCCAACTAAAATAGTTATTATTTCTGGGGATGATGGTGGGCAAGGAAAGGTATTTTCCACAGGGATCTAGCAATTCTGTTTAACTAGTGGGGATTCCTAGGGGTAGATGGACATTGGGAGCGAACAAACTTTCTAAAGCTGGGGGACTGTGGACCACCCTCTCTCCTACCTGCCTTAGGGTCTAGCAGGTCTTCTCCAGGATGAGGGCGCCAGTCTGGGTGAGGGTGGGTGAGGAGCTGGCTTCTGGGTTGACCTCAATATTCTGCTCAGGTTCTGCTGATTGAGCATTTTCCTCTCTTCTTTTTTTCACGAGGAGATCCCTGTTCCTGTCTTGAGAACTTGAGTCCCTTCCTCCATCTTCCTCCCTCCATTTACTCCTCTCTCTGACTCTCTCTCTTGCTCTCTCTCTCATGACTCACTACTGATCACCTGTGAGTTTTTTTCACGGGCTGAGACGTGCCCGCCTTCTTCCACACTCATCCTAGTTCCTTGTTTCTTTAAAACTTGCTCAAGAACCAACTCCTGCAGGGGGGTTTCCAGTCTTAACCCCACTCAGCAAAATTCACCACCATTTATGGGCTTTCCTCATCACATTTATGGGTGAAATGCCCCGGGGAGGGCACTGGTCATCTGGCCAGGTCTGCACTAAGTTGGACTGATTTCTGAGAATAGAGTCCATGGTCGCTTTTTCTGGATGTACCCTCTCCTGCAGGGTAGGGACTATGATTTTCTTGTCAACTTGAGACTTCTGATTGCAGAGACCAAGAGGTCTTCCATGGTCTTCCATCAGATAGGGAGGAAGCTAAAGGCGAGCGTCACGTCCATCATTTTCCCTGCGCGTGGAGTTGTGAGGGGTAGGTTTTCCTTCCCTAAACCTGAGTATATAGAGGATTTAGGGATTTTTCCCTCAAGAACTAAACATTTCCTCACGGGAGGAAAACATATCCCCCATTGGACTCCTTAGGACAAATCTTGCAGATTATCATACAAAAATGAACAGCCTGAAGTCTAAACTGACTCACTAAGGGGTATTTCCATCCTTGGGTTCTGGCTTAATACTTTCTCCCCTCCCCAACTACTCACTGCCCAGCCTGGCCTCTCCCCAGACTCCGCAGCAGCCTCCTCGCTGCCCCCTTCACTTTCTTATTCCTGAGGGTGTAGATGAGCGGGTTGAGAGCAGGTGTGACCACGGTGTAGAAGAGCGATACGAACTTGCCCCGTGCCTGGTTGTAGCGCTGCGCGGGCTGCAGGTAGGTGTAGATGGCCGAGCCGTAGAACAGGCAGACGGCTGTCAGGTGGGACCCACACGTGCCCACCGCCCTCCTCCGGCCTCCGCTGAACCGCATGCAACAGACAGCTCGGGCCACGGCACCGTAGGAGGCCAGGATGACGGCAAACGGCAGCAGCAGGATGACCACGCGGGCGGCGAACATCTGGTTCTCGGTAGTGTCTCCGTCGCCTCCGCAGGCCAGCTTGAGCAACGCCGGCAGCTCACAGATGAAGTGGTCCAGCAGGCGGGGCGCGCACAGCGGCCGCTCAGCCAGGAGCGCGGTTTGCGCAACCGAGTTGGTGAGGCCGCTTAGCCAGGAGGCGCTGGCCAGCGTGCGACATAGGCGCGGGGAGACGAGCCCCGCATAGCGCAGCGGGCGGCACACTGCGGCCGCGCGGTCCAGAGCCATCACCGCCAGGAGGACGCATTCGGCCGAACCCAGAGCCAGCGATGCGCACAGCTGGGCCGTGCAGTGGCTGCGCGGCAGCCAGAACGCTGGTCCGCGCAGGTTGGCCAGCAGCGGCGGCACCACGCTAGTAGTGAAGCCCGCGTCTACCAAGGCCAGGTGGCAGAGGAAGTAGTACATGGGCGTGTGCAGGCGCGGGTCGCGCACCGCCAGCAGCACCAGCGCCGAGTTGCCCGTCAAGGTCAGGAGGTAGCACAGGAGGACAAGGGCGAAGAGGACCGGCTGCAGGGAAGGCCAGTCGGAGAAACCCAGCAGGAGAAAGCGCTCCTCTGCGCTGTAGTTGGCCTAAAGGAGGAAAACTCCCAGAATGTTTGGAAGGTCGAAATAAAAAAGGGTGACTACCCCTTATAAGCAAAGGGAAAACCTTGGAGTGTGGGGCTGGGCTGGGAGAAGGAATGGAATCATATACAAGGTCAGTTTGTGGATTGTAATCCCATTTACAGATGAGATTACTTAAAAATAAACTCCCTAAGAATAAGAGCAACACTCCAAGCTTGGCGTGGCCAACACTCGGTAGGCAGAATGATCACCTCCGTTGTTTCAGGTACTCTGTGTTTATTTATGCAACAGTTCATGTAAAATGGAGACGAGGCCAGAAGAATCCTTGAGCAGACAGAGCCAGTTGGGCCTCCTAAGTGACCTTAACCTTGCTTGATTTGCAAGCATGTCTGAAACTTTATTTGTGGTATTTCTTGTAAATGCCTATGTTAAAGAAACACAGAACTTAAGCTCAACCAATCAGAAGCAGCCAACAAAAACGTAATTAGTAACTAGGACTTCCTCATGGGATAGACCAAATAAGGCAACTGTATAACTGTGTAACTGTATAACTGTAACCAATGAAATATTATCTTTGCTTTTATCTATTTGTCCTAAAAAGCCTCCTCCTCATGTTCTCTCTGGGGAGCTCCCTAGCCACTTCTGGCTTGGAGCTGCCCAATTCATGGATCACTGCTCAAATAAACTCTTAAATATTTTATTGGGCCTTAGTTTACTTTCTAACACAACCCATTATACGGCTGATTACTGATTTTTAATTTGTTGTGAATAGAGACTACTCCCAACGTCCATGCCCCTCCCACTGAGGGGAGATCAGCACACGTATACTAGCCTTTAAATCAGGAATAAGTTGGGTAGAAAAAAAGAACACTTTCTGGTAGACTAGAATATCAGGACATCTTGGTTTTACCTACATAGCTCCCTTTAGCCAGTTATATGATATGGGGAAATCTTCATTTCCCTCTGTCTCAATTTTTTCATATGTAAATCAAGGAGTTTGAACTAGATGTCATCTAAGTTTCCTGTCCCAAATCCTTGGCTTTACTATCAAATATTAATCCAAAAATAAAATAAAAAGAGAACCCCAGGGAACAAAAGGAACCTCATTCTCCAAGGGTCTTGTTGAACCAAGTGTCTTAATGGTACAGAAACATATGGGTTATGTAATGGATGAAAGTTTATGTGATGGACAGAAATCTTTCTGCTGCATGACTCCTGACATAAATTATTATATGGATAACTTATTTTTCACATCATATTCACTGCTGTAAATTACAAAATCACAATAACCTAATTTTTCATTTTTCAGAGGGAAAAAACACTGCTCCCTACCAAAACATCCTGTTTGATTTTATGTTTCACTCATTTTATCCTCACTGGGCAGAATAAGCATTAATGTCATAATTAAGAACCAGGGCTCAGCAGCCAGACTGCCTGGGTTTGAGTCCTGGCTCTGCCATTTTCTAGCTGGAAAACCTTGGGTATGTTACTTAGCCTCTCTCTGCCTCAGTTTCCTCATATGAAAATAGAAATATGTTAAGTGGGCTAAATATGAAAAGCTGTTAGAACAAGGCCTGGCACATAGCAGTTGTTAACTGTCATCCTTTAATAAATGCTAACTATCGTCATATCTGTTTCCCAAATTAAGAAACAGGTTTTTAAGGGGTTCTTATGCTAGGCAGTGATACAACTGCTATGAACATTTACATCTCTTTTCATTTATTAACTCTAATCTTAACTCACTTGAATATTAGGCAATAGCCTTATTTTATAGAGTATGTTAGGAGAGTAACTGAAGTTAAATTACTTGCCCAAGGCCACATTATTTGTAAATGCTTAATAGGTTTTCCACTTATATTTGACTAACTTCGAGGTCCTTCCTGTTTGATCAACCAGGATCCACTGTGCTAGAGACTGTGGAGTATGAAAGGACATGCAAAGTCTTACCTATATTTATAGATCATTTTATAATTTGGGGTCATATCAGAGATGAATAAAGTAGGAGAGGTGACATTCAGGCTTACAGACCAATGGTGGCTAGAGATGTTGAGTTACAAAAGGTCAAATTCTTTAATGCGGTGATTACACGGACACATAACTGTTCAGCCTGGCAAGCTCTAAACCATTCCTCTTCAAATATGCCACACCATGAAAACAGGCACACAATAATAAAACTGCACAGATAACATTCTTGTTACATGTATGCACAAATTCCCCAAAACATAGGCATGTGTGCACCTGTACACATAAACCCATCATCTCCCTCACACATCTAGAAGACAAATCTGTTGTGAAATATATAATATAATGTGTCATCAAACTTCACTTGGTATTTCAGAATGTGGCTCTCGGCACAAGACCATTTTGTTGTAGGGCACTGTAATACCCAACTTACCTTCATGACTAATCTTTGGCACTAATGTTTACACCTTGAGTTTCCAGATGATAGGTTGGTCTCTTGCTCCTGCTCTGGATTCTCTGGATTTGAAATGGAGTTGGGAGTATTTAATAAAAGATGCAATTGCATAGCTGTGTTGATTTCTGGAATGGATGCCTGGGATCAGAGCCAGGTATTTCAGGAAGAAGACGAGGGGTGGGTGTCATTGTGCTTGTAAATAGAGGAATAAAAAGAACGGGTAAGAAAGAACCTACATTTGTGAAATTTCAGGATCTAGGCAGAGGTGGTGATGTCTGTTCCTGGAGAACCTTGTAATGGGGTACAGACCAGACAAGGACCTGGGCCTTGTGCTGGTAGCAAATCAGCATTAGCTGGTGGTGGTAGCAAATATCCCTCCTGGATCTAAAGGACACAGTTAGAGAGGAGGAAGCATGCTGATGAGTGCTCTCACTAGAGAAAAAACAGGGGACTCAACGTTCCCTGTTATTTAGAAGAGAGGATGGAGCTCTGGGGAATAGATGTCCCACTCCTATCATTAGTACTTTGCATGAAGGTGTCCGGAGAGGAGTCCCCAAGAGTGGGGAAGAGGAAATTCTGGAGGGAAAGTCCCTTTAGGGTAGTGTGCCTCTGGCAGTGTATGAAGGCCAAAGGCAGTGTAATTCCCTCTCATTAATATTTCTACTATTCAATTGGAACTGGTTTAGAATTTCATTCTCTGATGGAGTGACCTTAAGCTAATTGTTTAACTTCAGTGACTCTCAATGTCATCATCTGTAAAACAAGGAAAATAACCCTTTCTGTCAGGAATTTTGTAGATTTGTTGAAGTCATTATTAGTTTTGAATGTAGCTTTGACTGTTATGTCATCAGCTTTGCTCCAAAGTCCACCTCCCCACTTGTGGCTCTCATCATTCTCTTTCCCTTTGCTCCTCCTTCGTCCTTGAAGATTTTTGTCCCTGATCCCCTCTCACTCTCTCCAGTACTGTGATGATTCTTGGTGAATTCAGTATCCTCATAGATTATCTTTCTATACTTTCCTCTCAGTTTCTTCCTCAGTGAGAGGTCCGCAAATTCATCGTGGCCCCTCACGCCCCTTGTATCTTCAGTTCTCTATCAAGCTTAGACTGTCTCGTCAATCACTATTACTCCTTTGCATACATCAATGTTCCTGCCCTTTTCACTTGTTACACTCTTTCAGCTAAATTGCTTTCCTATTTAAATCCAACTATAGTCCTACTCTCTCCCTATATTTGTTCAGCTGACTGTGGCCGAAGGAAAGCCAATAGCCACACTGAGAGGTTTCACTTTACATTCATGACCACTACTTTAAGAGGAAGGGGCTAATGTCATTGATAATCATATTTTCCTAGTCCACTCACTTTCCCCTCTCCTACGTAACTCATGCATACTTTCTGGTCTCCCCTCAAATCCCCAGTACTCCTCTCTCTCAAATAATATCATCTTTCTCAGATAAAAATTTTACTTCATTTTTTACTGAAAAAATGTAAAGCAATAAAAAGAGAAGTTCTTACTAACCCATCTGTTCACCTACTTGCATCTGTGCTCACATATGGGACTCCACCTTTTCTTCTGATACTGCTAGGAATATACTATTTTGCATCTGTCTGATGCCAGTACCCCCACTTGCCCACTATATTCCATCCCTTTCCACTTATTCAGGGACATTACTCTAATCTTTCCCCTCTTTCCTGTAATATAATTTGTCCTTCCAGTGGACCATCCCCATCAATACATAAACATACTTTGATTTCACTCATCAGAAAATAATCTTCTCTTGACTTCACTTCCCCCTAGCTACCATCCAAGTCCTTGAATTCTCTTTCGGGTTGGCTCCAACAAGGTTTCTGCACTGGAAACCTTTCATCGAAGGTCACAAACTGACCTCCACATTGATATAGTAGTTTTCAGTCCTCATGTTACTTGACCTGTTAGAAGCTTTTCAATAGAGTGGACTTAGCTTTCCTTTTTGGAACATGCCTTTCACTTCTGCTATGGACTGAATTGTGTCCCCCCCCAAAATTCATATGTTGAAAATCTAATCCTCAATGTGATGGTATTTGAAATGGGCATTTTAGGAGGTAATTATAGTTAAATGAGGTCACAAAGGTGAGGGCCAAATAGGATTAGTTTCCTTATAAAAGAGGAAAGGCCACGTGAGGAGGCAGCAAGTAGGGAGTTGTCTGCAAGCCAGGAGGAGAGCCATCACCAGGAACAAAATCAGCCAGCATCTTGATCTTGAACTTCCCAGCCTCCAGAACTGTGAGAAATCAACTTCTGTTGTTGAAGCCACCCAGTTTATGGTATTTTGTTATGGCAGTCTGAGCTGACTGACAGCTTCAAATCACCAAAGTCTCCCAGCTGCTCCTTCTGAATCTCCTTTATTGGTTTCTCCTCCTCTCCCTGCTGTGCCTAGGGTTCAGTCCTCTTTCCTTTTTTACGTGCACTTCCGTCATCCAGTCTTATGACATTGTACACCATCTATATGCTGATGACTCCTAAATTTATATTTCCAGGCTGGATTTTTCTCCTAACCTCCAGATTCCTATGTCCAATTGTCTACCCACCAGCAGCTTTTGGTATCTAATACACATCTCAGATTTAACATGCCATAAACTGAGCTCCTTACTACCCACCCTCTCCCCCACAATGTGCTTCTTCTGTAGCCTTTCTCATCTCCCGTAATGAAAATCCATTCTTCTAGTTTCTCAGACAAAAATCTTGTGATACTGACTCTTCTTCATCTCACTCACATATAATCTACCCACAAATTCTATTGGCTCTACCTGCAAAAATATGTTGTGAAACTGACAAGTCGTTATCACTGTTAGGACCACCACTCTGGTCTGTCCTTGTCAACATCTCTTGCTTGGATGATTGAAATAATCCTCTGGTTCTTCCCTTAACCTTTAGTATATTCTCAACATGGAAGCCAGAGTAACCCATTTATAACAACTCAGATCATACCACTTCTTATCTCAAAATCTTTCAGCAGTTTCCATGTTACTCAGAAAGAAAAAGCCTAGTCACAAGATCTAAAGATCAGTGCCCTCCACCTCAGTACTACTGACGATTTTGACTGGATCATCCTTTGTTGGGGGTGCTGTCCTGTGCATTGTAGGATGTTTAGCACCATCTCGGGGCTCTACCCACTAGGTGATAGTAGTGCATCCTCTCTAATTGTGACAATCAAAACCAGCTCCAGACATTGCCAAATGTCCCAGTGGGAGGCCTAATTAGCCACGGTGAGAACTGCTGCTTGACTTAATCAGAAAAAATAAACCTCCTGCAGCTAGCTTGGTGTCTGCCTAAACAGCCTCCTAGTTTTGTGCTTGAAACCCAGGGCCCTGGTGGCATAGGCACCAGAGGGAATCTCCTGGTCTATAGGTTTCGAAGACGTGAGGAAAGCGCAGTATCTGTGCCAGAGTGCACCGTTCCTCCCCACACAGTCCCTCAAGGCTTCGGCTTCCCTTGGCTAGGAGAGGGAGTTCCTTGACCTCTTGTGCTCCCCGGGTGAGGCGATGCCCCACCCTGCTTTGGCACACCCTCCATGGGCTGCACCCGCTGTCCAACCAGTCCCAATAAGATGAACTGGGTACCTCAGTTGGAAATGCAGAAATCATCCACCTTCTGGGTCAATCTTGCTGGGAGGTGCAGACCAGAGCTATTCCTATTCCACCATCTTGCCAGCCTCCTCCCCTGGTATCTAGCTGTAATTTTGTATCCATGAACCAATCTCTTCCTATCCTTCCCTCTCTCCTCCCTTCGATCCTTCCTGTGCTCTAATAATCAAAATTCCACTCTCTATTTCTAATGAGCTCAACATTTTTTAGCTTCCATATGTGAGTGAGAACACACAGTCTTTATCTTTCTGTGCCTGCTTATTTCAGTTAACATGGTGTCTTCCAGGTTCATCCATGTTGCCATGAATGACAGGATTTCTTTTTTTTTTTTCATGTCTCTGCCATTTAAAGGGGGTGTTTAATATATTTACATTTAATGTAATTACTGATAGTATAGGATTTTGACCTGTCATTTTGCTACTTATTTTCTTTATATCGTGTTTTTTATTGCTCTATTCCATTATTACTGCCTTTGTATGTTAAATAAATTTTGTTAGTGTTTTACTTAATTCTCCTTGTTGTTTCTTTTACTATACTTTTTGAGGTATTTTTTAAATATTGCCCTGGATCTTGCAATTAATAATTTATAACAATTTAGTCAGATTAATAGCAATTTAATTTCAATAGCACACAAAACCTTTGCTTCCATACAGCTCCATTCTCTTCTGCTTCTTTGTGTTTTTATTGCCGTACAAATTACATCTTTATACATTGTAGGCTTATCAATACAGATTTATAATTATTTCATTATGTATTTGTCTTTTGAATCATATGAGAGAGGAAATCGCAAACAAATTGCATTTATACTGTCTTTTATATTTACCCATGTAGTTATCTTTACTGGAGTTCTTCATTTCTTCATGTGGATTCGAGTTGCTATGTAGTGTCCTTTCATGTCAACCTGCAAGACTGCTTTTATAATTTCCCATAAGACAGGTCTGGTAATTACAGCTTCTCTCAGTTTTCAAAATCTGAGAATGTTTAATTTCTAGTTCATTTATGAAGAATAGTTTTGCTGGCTTTAGAATTGTTCATTGACAGTATTTTACTTTTGCTACTTTGAATATGTCATCCCATTGCCTCCTGACTCTGTAATTTTTCATGAGAAATTAGTTCTTATTCTTACTGAGAATCTCTTGTACATGATAAGTTGCTTCCCTCTTTTTGCCCTCAAGATTCTTTCTTTGTTTCTTGGCAGTTTGATTATAATGTTTCTATGTGTGAATCTCTTTGAATTTATTTTATCTAAGTTTGTTGAGCTTTGTGAAAGTGTAGATTAACATTTTTTCATTGAATTTGGAGTTTTTCAGCTAGTATTTCTTTAAATATTCCTTCTGTTCCTTTTATTCTATCCTCTCCTGAAAATTCTCGTTTATGTGTTTTGGTACACTGGATTGTGTCCCACAGGTCTCTGAAACTCTGTTCATTCTTCTTCTTTTTAATTCATGTTCCTCATACTGGATAATTTCCCCACCTATCTTTAAATTTACTGATTCTTTCTTCTGCCTTCTCAAATCTGTTATTGAGGCTATCTAGTGAAGTTTTTATTTCTACGATTTTATTTATCAATTACTGAATTTTATTTGTTTCTTTTCTTTTTTTTTTTTTTTTTTTTTTGAGACAGAGTCTCGCTCTGTCGCCCAGGCTGGAGTGCAGTGGCGGGATCTCGGCTCACTGCAAGCTCCGCCTCCCGGGTTCACGCCATTCTCCTGCCTCAGCCTCCCAAGTAGCTGGGACTACAGGCGCCCGCCACTACGCCCGGCTAATTTTTTGTATTTTTAGTAGACACGGGGTTTCACCGTTTTAGCTGGGATGGTCTCGATCTCCTGAGCTCGTGATCCGCCCGCCTCGGCCTCCCAAAGTGCTGGGATTACAGGCGTGAGCCACCGCGCCCGGCCTTGTTTCTTTTTTAACATTCCATCTCATTATTGATGTTTTGTATTTGGTGAGATATCATTCTCATGCATTCCTTTAGTTCTTTTGACATGGTTTCCTTTAGTTCTTTGAACGTGTTTAAAATTGTTCGTCTAATATGTTCACCTAGTATGTCCAATGTCTGGTATATGCAGTCTACCAGAGGCAGTTTTGATTTTAAAATGAATAGGTTAAAAAAAGAGGGTGGAAAAAAGTATACCATGTAGAAAACTATGATGAAAGAGCTGAGACAGCTCTACTAATATTGGACAAAGTAGACCTTGAGAAAAATAGCGTTACTAGAAATAAAGAGGCATATTCTATAATGATAAAATTTCAATTTATCAGGAGGATATGAGGATTATAAACATACACACAATTAGCAACACATCCCCCAAATACATAAAACATGAAAATGACAGAATTGAGGGGATAAATAAACAAATCATTAAAAATAGTTGAAGATTTCAACACTCCATTATCAATCATTGATGGAACAACTAGATAGAAAATCAGCAAGGATACAGAGCCTGAAACATTATCAACCAACTTGACCTACTTGACAACAACAAATGAATTATACACGCTTTTGAAACACACATGGAACATTCTCCAGGATAGACTAGATGGGAGGGCACAAATTATCTATAAATTAAAAAAAAATTGAACTAATACAATATATGTATTCCAACCACAATGGAATTGAATGAGTAATCACCAACAGTTGGAAACTTCAGGAATCCACAAATAACAGGTGAAAGAAAAAAAAACACAGGGGAAATTAAAAAGAATATGCATGAAATGAAATGAAACCATAACATGTCAACATTTATGAGATGGAGATAAACCAGTGCTTAGAGGAAAATCTGTAGCTGTAAATGCCTACATTGGAAAAGAAAAATACCTCTAATCAGTAATTCAACTTTCTATGGTAAGAAGCAAGGAAAAGAAGAGAAAACTAACCCCAAAGCAAGCAGAAGAAAGGAAATAATAAAGAAGAGAGCAAGAGTAGATGGAATAGAAAATAAAACACTATAGAGAAAAGTAATGAAACCAAAAGTTGAATCATGGAAAATAACAACACAATTGACAAACCTTTAGCTAGACTTACCAAGAAAAAAAAATGGCCTCAAATTCCTAAAATCAGAAATGAAATTGGGCACATCATTACCAACTTTATAGAAATTTAAAGGATTATAAAGAAATCCTATGAACAACTTTATCCTAACATACTAGACACCTTCGATGAAATGGATAAATTTCTAGAAAAACTAATTACCAAAATTGACTCAAGAGGAAATAGAAAATCTGTATAAGCCTACAAGAAGTAAAGACATTAAAACTGTCATTGCATATCTTCCCACAAAAAAGGCCCAGGCCCAGATGTCTCTACTGGTGAATTCTACCAAACATTTAAAGAAAAAAATAATACAATTCTATACAAACTCTTCCAAAATATAGATCAGAAAGGATCACTTCCCAACACATTGTATAGGAATGATGGAAATGTTGTAAAATCATATTCTAGTGAGTATGTACTTTTGTACATAAGGAAGTTAAGAGACACAGGGCCCCATTTGTGATCCTTTGGGAGTGTGAGAAGCACATATTTCCTACACCCATGTTCCCATTTGGAAGGGCTTCTCTGACCAGCATCAGCCACAAGTGACTTTGCTGAGTGGGGCATCCAGAAGAAGGGGCTGAATGTGGCATTTGAAGGACTTTTCCTCCTTTCTCCTTAGAATCTGACTGTCTGCATGGAGGAATCATACTCCTGGGTTCCCTCCATTAAGTGATAAGCTTCAGGAGACAGGTGTTGACCATGGGTGCCTGTGCCTATTACTTTGAGGAGTAAATTCAATTCCTGGAGAGAATAACATATAAGCAAGTGCTTTGGGGTCACAAACTGCTTCCCAGGTCATTAGGGGAGGGAGGAATAAAGATGCTATGTTGTTGGGCATTGTTTTGACTTCTCAATTTATCTCTCAATTGATTCAGAGAGATGTAATGAAAATGAACTAATTGACTTATTGATTGATCGAAATTAGTGCAACAAGGAGACATGTCTTTTCTTGCCTCATAAAAGCAAGTCAAGGCCGGGTACAGTGGCTCACCCCTGTAATCCCAGCACTTTGGGAGGCCAAGGTGGGCGGATCACCTGAGGTTGGGAGTTTGAGACCGGTCTGACCAACATGGAGAAACCCTGTCTCTATTAAAAACACAAAATTAGCCAGGTGTTGTGGTGCATGCCTGTAATCCCAGCTACTCAGGAGGCTGAGGCAGGAGAATCGTTTGAACCCAGGAGGCTGAGGTTGCAGCGAGCCGAGATTGCACCATTGCACTGCAGCCTAGGCAACAAGAGTGAAACTCCGTCTCAAAAAAAAAAAAAAGAAAGCAAGTCAGTGGTGGGGTAAACCAGGGTGAAAAATATTGGCTCCAACAAAGCACAGCCAAATCTCCCTAGGCTTGGTGAATCCAATGTAAGTTTCTGACACAGATTTACAAGAACTTCCACATCTTTTGCAAAAAAAAAAAAATGCAATTCAATTGACAGCAAAATGAAAGGAGCACATTTGAGTTCCTGGCATGCTCAAGTTTATTGACAAAATGCCCACCAGAGTTCCCTCTCCTGCCTGTCTCAGATGGGCTGGGCTGGGCTGGATGTCATTCTAGGAGATTCACACAGGGAGGCAGGTGACAACTTGTCTTAAAGATCCTTCTTTTTTGAGGGAAGTTATTGTTCAGGATGGAGTAATCAAAAGTGTCAGTGGGATGGGGGATATCAGGAGATGCTGAGATACAATGTTTCAGATAAAGGCCTGGGCCCTGATATGCAATTTGCCCCAGTACAGGAAGACCCAACAGACACAGAGAAATTGACAACCTCTTGTCAGGACCCAGTTCAAATCAGACATCGTTAGATTGCTTCCTGACCTGTGGGCAGAACTTTCATCTCTCAGGACATTGGCCTCTGTGGTACCAATTCTATCCAAGACTTCCCAGGTATGAGAAAAGATCTCTCTTCCTTCTTTCATTTTCAAACCATTTTAACTCAGAGACATATTTTCCTGGAATTTGAAACCTCATGATTTTTTACTGGGGAAGGTGCATTTCTCAGGAAAATGGGGACAGGACAGAAACCAGGTTCCTGGAGAAAGCAGGATTCGGGGTTCCAGGGTAGTCCCAGCAGGTGAGCCACAACTGTGCCCTGGCCCCTGGTTCACAAATGCCCCAGCTGTGTAGATGGGCAGAGGGTGTGTTATTCTGTTAAAGGTAGGATTTGAGCCACTGTATTACTGAGGTGTAGTCTATGACTTCTAGGAAAATCCTTTTGGGTCTTCTGATTTCACAGCTTCTATATTCATATTTAGTTTGTATCTAACGCAAGGAATGAAGTTCTTATGCATGCTACCCTGTGAAGAAGCCATGAAAACAAGAGGCTGAGTGAAAGAAACAGACAAAAAAATCACAGAGGGTCTGATTCCACTAATAGGACATGTCCAGAATAGGTGAATGTGCAGAAATGGAAGGTAGATGGGGTTGCCAAGAGCTGGGAGGAGGAAGACAAGGGGAGTAACTGCTAACAGGTAAAAGGCTTTCTTATGGGGGTATGTAAATATTTTGGAACCAGATAGAGGTGGTGGTTGCACAACATTGTGAAGGTGCTAAGTGAGGCAGAACTGTGCCCTTTAAATTAGTTAATTTGTGTTATGTAAATTTCACCTCAAATAAAGATTAAGTGGGGAGGGTGGGCTCTCAACTCAGAACCAGAGCAAGTACTTCAATCCCAATGCAAAGGTTACTTGGCTATTTTGGCTGCATCAACCTGAGCACTTCCATCAGAGCTGGCTCCCTGAATCCCAGGATCCAACCTGTTTGTTGTTTATGCTCCTTGGGGAGCTTGGCTCATGACCCGACTTGGAAATGACATTTCCAGGTGCTAGGATCTCTCTGTGCCCAGTGCTGGGGCTGCACCAGGCACTGAAGCCTTCCCACCCCAGGAGGGCTGTGTCCTCCTCTTGTGTGATGAGGAAGAATGTGCTGCTTAGTCACTGGCCTCAGTAGTGGTCTCTGGGCATGAGCTAGGTCTCAGTGAGCCCAGGGATGGGAAGCCTGGCTCTGTCCCTGAAGCCACATGCTGCCTCCAAAATGGGCATTTTCTCTTTGTTGAAGGGTAAGTCACCTCTCCCCTTGAAACTCTTTTATCTATAAATCTCCTTTCTTTGTTGGGGACCAGAGCCCAACTGCTCCTGCTTGGTGCCTTGGTGGCCTGGGGTGGGCCACGGAGGTCTGTTTGCAGCTTCTCTTCTGTCATCATCACGAGTTCTGACACCCTGGCCCAGGCACAGAACTGCAGGTCACCCTGATGTTTCCATGGGCACCAATGTTACCAAGCCCCAAGACTCATCCTATGACCAGATTAGATCTGAGCCAGATCTGCGGTCCTCCCTGGCCTCAGGTAAGAGTGTCTAGGTAACAAGTGCAGGGAGGGGAGGGGCTGGGGCTGGACCCTTCCATTTCAAGAGAGCTGCCAACTGAAGGGGACTCCATCATCCCAGCAAGGAGGGAAGATTCAAACACTGGGCTCACTTGGAGCTGGTCCCTAGCATTCTCCTAAACCCTGCTGATGCACCAATATGTGACTGCAGGCCACAAGGTCACCTGTGGAATATTTCCAGGCATATCGCAGGCATTTATCAGTTAGTTTGTGGAACAAGCTCTGTTCTAGAAGCTTCTGTGATTCAGAAGCAAAGCTTCAGCAGCTCAGGGTTGTAGAACCAGGTAGATCTCACTGTTCTGAGACTTTCCATAATTCCGTCTGTAAACTTTTCATCATAAATGTGATCATCAGTTCAGGCTCCCATGACAGAGATCACAGACTGAGTGGCTTAAACAGCAGAAGTTCATTCTCTCAGTTTTAGGAGGCTGAAAGTCTGAGATCCAAAGATTGCCGGGATCATTTCTTTCCAAAGCCTCTCTCCTTAGCTTGTAGATGGCTGCCTTCTCCCTGTGTCTTCTCATGGTCATCCCCCTGTGGGTGTCTGTGTCCTAATCTCCTTTACTTATGAAGACACTACCCCTATTGGATTAGGGCCTACCCTAATGACCCATCTAAACATAATTACCCCTTTAATGTCCCTGTCTCCAAATTCAGTCACATTCTGAGGTACTGGGATAGTTCAACATATGAATTTAGAAGAATACAATTCATCCCATAGCAGCAGCCCTTACTTAGATGGGGATGCTGAGGCAAAGAAAGAGTCAGCTACTATGAAAAAGAGCTGGGATTTGCCCCCAAGAGGTCAGCTCTCACAGTCTCAGCATGAACTCCTCAGATCACTGGGTTTAACCAAGCTGTGGGATTCCAGAAGGGGTACTGACCTTCTCCTGTTTAACTTTCAAGTTGGGCAACAAACCACCTTGGTTTTCCTAGGGCTATGAGGATTTTCAGGACAAGAGATGTTCAGAGCTTAAACTGGGAAAGTCCTAGGCAAAGCAGGATAAGTTGGTCACCCTCCCCTCATGATTCTACAAAGAAAGACCTGTGATTGGCAATGTGGAGGAGAGTGCCTGCTCCTGTTGTGGACGTAGCCCAGGGTTCAGGTGTGAGTCTCCCTCAGGAGTCCAAGAAGCCTTTTTTTTTAAATCAGTTTGCGGAACAAGCTTTGTTCCAGAAGCTTCTGTGATTCAGAAGCAAAGTTTGCTTTTATGAAGAGGTCACCAGCACTTCCCCAAGTGTAACTGAGCTGCATAAAGCTCTCCATAGGTGCCGTACCCAAGTGAGTCCTCTATGTCAAACCCTGTTCCAGGAGCTGGAGAAGTTATTGAACAACATTGTGAAGAGAATAAAAAACCTGATAAATCTTCCATTCCCACAGAGGGATTTCTGCAGAAGTAAGTAAGTTGCATAGACACTCAGCATGTGATGAATGCAATGTTAATAGGAAGCAGAAGCTTCTCTGGAAGTTGATACTGGGGCAAAGATTGGAAAGAGGATACAAAGCTTACAGATGTGCAGAGGCCCTTCCAGGCAGCAGAACAACATAAAGGTCCTACCAGGAGGCCCTCGTGCTGAAAGTGAGGAGTTGAGGGGAGGTGAGCAGGAGAGAGGTTGGGTAGACCTTCCCTAGAGCACTGAAAAGCAACTGCCCCATGTGGGACTCAGAATATCTCAGAACCTTAGGGCAGAGGAATTGCCTGGTGCCTCCACCAAAACCATGCCATGAAAACTGTCTGTGTCAATGAGAGAGTTGGAGAACAAAGGTAAAGAAATGCACCTCTTTCCTTTATGGGCACCTAGGTGCATGGATACACACCTGGTGTTGGGCACAGCATCAAGAATACCTGAACGAGGTGGAGAGAGGGATGGGGGCAAGCAGGAGAGGGTACCCTGCAGTGGAGGATATGGGATGGATGGATCACTTGCAGGAGACTCATTCCTCTCCTTGACTTTGCTCTGTGAGATTCCCACCAATCTTGGGAGGCCCAGCAGGACCCTCTTGGGAAGCCCAGCAGGTCAGAAGGCAACCCTGACTCTCCTTCCTAGGCCTGGTAAGTTACCAACCTTTGTCTTTGCAGGGTGTGCCCAGGCAGCCAAGGCAGCCCACCATGGCCCAGTTTCTCTCAGTGTTCTCTGGGAAGCTGGATTGGGACAACAGGACAGAGACCCCAGGACAAGTGAACATGAGTCATACGGGAGGCGAGTGGTTGGTGGGCAAACAGGTGGTTTTCATCCTGACAGTGCTGGTGGCCTTCTGTGGGCTGGTGGGCAATGGTGTGGTGTGCTGGCTTTTCTGCTTCCAGGTCAGGAGCAGCCCCTACATGACCTATGTCCTTAACCTGGCCGCTGCTGATATGGTCAACCTCTCCTGTGTAACTGTGATCCTGTTGGAGAAAATCCTCATGCTGTATCACCAGGTGACATTGCAGGTGGCCATGTTTCTGGAGCCTGTGTCCTATTTCTCTGACACAGTGAGTCTCTGTCTCCTGGTGGCCATGAATATTGAGAGCTTTCTGTGTGTCCTCTGTCCCACCTGGTGCTGCCACCGCCCAAAGCACACCTCTGCTGTGATGAGCATCCTGAGCTGGGCCCTGGCCCTTTCTTTGCATGTGGTTAGCCAGGTTTGTGAGTAATGGGAGAAGGGCCTGGCATGTGACCAATTTCAGGCAGGCTTTATAATATTTCACATGCTTATTTGTCTTGTGGTGGGCATTTCCAGCCTGACTTTGATCATCAGGAGCCTGTACTGCCTGAAGAACTGTTCACCCATCCGGATCTACCACATTGTCCGCTTTGTGGCCATCAGCTTCCTCGTTTGGGGCCTGCCCTTAGTTGTCCTTGTGTACCTGCCAGGAAAAGAATACCTGACCTTTGCCTTTGACCTTCTGTTGCTGCTGTCCATGGTAGTCAGTATGGCTCAACCAGCCATCTACTTCTTGGCTGGCTACCTTTGAAGGAAGAGGCATAGGGAGTCCTTAAAGTTGTTCTCCCAAGAGCTTTGTTGAATGAGATGGAAGGTGGAGGAAACAAGGGGTTTCAGGCAAGGGAACAGCAGGTTACCAGGACTGAGCTCCTCCCACTCCAGGAAGCTGTTCCCCAGGACTGACCATGATGCCCTGTATTGGTCCATTCTCACACTGCTATAAAGAAATATCTGAGACTGGGTAATTTATAAAGAAAAGAGGATTAATTGGCTGACAGTTTGACAGGCTGTACAGGAAGCATGGCTGGGGAGGCCTCAGGAAACTTACAATCATGGCAGAAGGTGAAGGGGAAGCAGGTACGTCTTCACATGGCAGGAACAGCAGGAATAGAGCAATGGGAGAGGTGCTATACACTTTGAAACAATCAGATCTGGTGAGCACTCACTCACTATAATGAGAGCAGCACAGAGGGGAAAATCTGCCTCCATGATTCAATCACCTCCCACCAGGCCCAACCTCCAATACTGGAAATTACAAATGGACATGAGATTTGGGTGGGGAACATAGATCCAAACCATATCATGCCCTGTGGAGTCTGCCCCATAAGGAGGTGCTTGAGTCCTGGCAAACATAAGACTCTGAATAGGGCAGGAAGTCAAGTGGTGGAAAAAACTATGACTAGAGGAAATGTTCACTGAAGATTCCCTTTGTCTCAATACTGCTCTAATTACTTTGCAAATATAAAACCAGGTAATTTTAACAATTCTATGAATAGATAACGTTATTATTATCCTGCTTCAGCCTAAGCCAAAAGGCCACTTGGCCCACTTAGTCAGTGGTTATCCAAAGGCCCCAGCACATTATAACAAGCACAGTCCTTCACCATCACGCTCCTCCTTGGTGATCAATCACAGTTGGACTCTTGTGGGTCTGTCTGTGGGCCCTCTGCTCTATTCCATCAGTCTATTTATCCATCCATGGACAATACCACACTTGATGTAGTTACTGCATCTTTATCATACATGTCTATCTGCGAGAAGCTGAGTCCTCCTACAAGCAGCTAGATAGAGAAGAAAAAGACATATATGTACAGAGAATCAAAGATACAAAGCAGATTTCTTGTTGGAAAATTGCAAGTTGTATGGAAGTATTTTTTTTAAAGAAAAAAATGCCAACCTAGAATTCTTTACACAGTCAAAATTTTGTTTTCCAATAAAAAGGCAGAATAAAGAGGTTTTCAGATTGACAAAAGATGAAAGAAATCATCACCAGGAGATGTACAGATTGAGAAATGGTAAAGGACATCCATCTAGCAGGAGAATAATGACTCCAGATGGAAATCTGAGTCTACTAAAGGAAGGAGCCCTTTGCACTGCTAGACTCTCCATAGGATGCTGAATACAAGTAGTGAGAGCTGACATCCTCACCTAGTTCTTCCTCTGGGGTGAAACCATCCAGTCTTTCATCATTAAGAATAACGTCCAGTAAACATCAACTACAGGGTTTTTGTAGGTGCCTTTTATCAGTTTAAGAAAATTCACTTCTATTCCTAGTTTTTAGGAATAGAAATAGACTGGAAGTTTTTATAAGGTTGATGGATTTTGTCTAATGCTTTTTCCAAATATACTGAAATAATGATGTGCTGTTGTCTTTTCATCTGTTAATATGGTGAGTTATACTGGCCCATTTTTAACGTTGAAGCAGCCTTGCATTCTTGGGATAAATTTCACTTTGTCGTTCTGTGCATATATTTATACTTGTGTTGCATATGTATGTATGCTCAAGGGCACGGGTTTCTGTGTGTGGCAATGCAGTGGACCTAGATTAGAAATAAAAAACCCTCTAAAAAAGAAGAATTAAGTAAGATGGCTAACAATACCTAACTTCAAGACCTATCGTAAAGGTTCAGAAATTCAGACGGTATGGTATTGGTAAGAGGCTAGACAAATGGATCAATAGAACAGAATACAGAGTCCAGAATAGACCATCACATATGTGTTCAATTGTTTTTCAAAAGTTGTACAGCAAATTCAGTGGAGAAAAGACAATCTTAGCAACAAATACTATTAGAACAATTAGATATGCATATTAAAAACTTCAGTCCATACATGGCACCATTATTCAAAATGTATCATAAACCAAAATGTAAGGCCTAAAACTTTAAAATTTGCATAAGGAAAAAGGTAGATATTAGTGTGACTTTGGATTAGAGAAATATTTGTTAGATAAGCACCAAAAGCATGATGCATAAAAGGAAAAAAAAATGATCAATTGGACTTCATCAAAATGATGTGTGCACTCTGAAAGACCCTGTGAGGAGAATGAAAAGACAAGTCCCAGGCTGGAGGAAGTATTTGCAAATCTCACCTCTGATGGACTCATATGCAGGTTCTACAAAAAGCTCTGGGGAGTGGACTCCTCGTGGCCCTCAGGAGTCAAAGGGGTGCTGTGCTCAGGGCAGAAATGGGAGATGCCTCCCACCCTGTCATTCATGTCCCCTGAGCAGTGGTGCTCAAAGTCCCCTACCAATGTCCCTTCCTGGGTCCACAGACCCTTCTCTCCCCACATCTACACTGACAGGCCAGGCCCCTCCTCCAGGGCACAGGGAGGGACAGTTGGTCTCAGGCTCTGGGTGCCCAGCTTCATGCTCACCCCTTCCTTCAAGGCCCACTGGGCCTGTCTCACAGGATATAGTGAGGTTGTCTGGCATCTCCTGGACATGCTGTCTGGGCCTATTCCAAGCTGCAGCCAGAAAAATGGAGGAATGTTTGTCAGACCAGGTACCCTTCCCACAGAGCCTGGGTCCAGATACACAGTACAGAGGCCACAGGGTGGCCAGCCTAGAACCTGTGAGGTGGGCTGGGGACCACACAAGGGCTGTCTCCAGACAGCCAGGTGAAGCTTTGCTAGTTTCTCGGTATCTCATTTCTTTCCTTTTCTTTTTTTCTTTTTTTGAGACAGGTTCTTGCTCTGCTGCCCAGGCTGCAGTGCAATGGCGTGATCTCAGCTCACTGCAATCTCCACTCTCTGACTTCCAGGCTTAAGCCATTCTCCCACCTCAGCCCCACCAGTAGCTGGAACTACAGGCGCGTGCCACCACACCTGGCTAATTTTTTTGTTTTGGTAGAAATGGGCTTTCACCATGTTGTCTAGGCTGGTCTTGAACTTCTGGACTCAGGCAACCCACCCTCCTTGGCCTCCGAAAATCTTGGGATTACAGGCGTGAGCCACTGCATCTGGCTGTTATTTCATTTCTTGCCAGTTACCTTACCCTCATGAAAAACCCCCTTCATTCAAAATCAGTAAGAGGAGAAAGGTGGTAAAAGAATCAATGGAAAGAAAACAGGATATAACTTCTGTCCATATAACTTCTTTATGTCCCATTGGAAAGAAAAGCCTAAAGGGGTCCACTGGTTTCTATTGCTCTGAGGTCCCGACGATGGCATTACACAGTGCAATAACTACCAGCAGGGGCCATGCTTGATTTCAGCAGACGTCAGTGAGGACATACCTGGGATCTTCTGGGGTCGTGGACATGGACTTAGAGCAGAACTGAGTAAACAGGTGTGCACAGGCACGCACACACATACACATACACGTGCACATGTGCACACACAGGGACACACACTTCTGCACTGTTCTAGACTGTTCCCGGGGCAGCAGTCCTGGGCTGCACAGATGAGCCCCTCCCCATCCACTCTGATTCCACAAGGCTCCCCGACCCCGCTAGTCACCTGGCTTGTTGTCAGTGGTGTCCTTTGTGTCCCGCCTTGGCACAGGCTCAGGACCTGGGATTGCCAGATGCTGAGAGGAGATGAGATGGAAAGGATGAGGGAAGCAAGAGAAGAAGGAAGAGAGGGAGGGAGGGATGTGGGGAGGGAAGGAGGGAAGAAAGGAAGGGAGGGCTGCCGGAGACCAGCCACCCAGGGACAGTAGACACAGGTGACAGCAGACCCTCTCAGGGATGCTTTGTACAGACTGTCATGAATGAGCAATGTCACTGGAACTCCAACTTTTGCTCCCTTCCCAGCCCTCTGGGGGTCCCTATCAGGTGCAGTTTGAATTACAGGAAATTACTGGAGGGTCTTAACCCTGGCATCTGCCTGAGAGTGGGAGGCTGCAGTGCAGTGTGGCTCACAGTTGGGTGGGAACCTTGGCCTTTCTGGTGCTTGGCCCTGCTGCGGCCTTTGGGATGGGGAGGCTGTGAGAGGCTGGTCAGGGTCTGGGCTGTGCCATCTTCATTTCCCATCCACCCCAGTATGTCCAGGGCTTCCTGCAGAGAGCTCTGGGCAACTCAAAAACAGGCAGGACATAACAACAAAGACTTTATTGTGCTTTAATCAAAATAAGTGGGGGCTTTGAGGCCAAGGAAGGGGTCCTTTTCCCCAAGAAGAGGCATTCTTAGGCATTGTTGAATCTATGCTGGAAGCTCTGGTCCCACCTTGGAGCCTCCTGCAGTGAGTAGAGCCAAGTTTCCTGACTTTTTCTGACCACAAAATGCAACTGCCAAGAATGGCAGATGAGGGATCCAGCCTCCTGGACTCTCATTTGCTTAGTTTTCTTCAGTCTTGTGTCCTGGAGCAGATTGTGGACCCTGGAAGCAGGGCCCCAGTGCCATCTGCTTGGGCCTCAGAACTCTGCCCCATTGGTGGTCTGGTGGTGGCCACTTATCCTGCAGGAGCCTGACCATTTCTGCTTCCTTGAATGGATGAGGTTGGTGGCTGGTCCACGTGTTTCTGCCCCACCCTCACCAAGGTGGCCAGTGGTAGTTTGAGCTTGGTAACATCATCAGCTTGGCCTTGCCAGGCACACATAGGCCCCGGGTATGTACGCAGTGCTCCAAGGGGGCTTGCTCCGCCTTAAGCCAAATACTAGTTCTGGCCAGGGCCACAGGGGGCTCCATCTCCTGTGTATCTTGGCTGCTGCTGGAGGCCCCAAGGCACCCCTGGTGCCCCTTCCCTTTCAGGGCTCAGGTTGAGTCTGGGCTAGGGCCCTCTGGGTCTAGGAATTGTGCATTGAGAGGGGGGTTCTGCCCTACAGGTTGGGACCATGGATGCAGGGCATGCTGCTGGGTGGCCTGGGCTGTGGGGACACCATGCTCACCCCTCCCTCCAGTGGCCTCCAAGTGTCCAGCTTCCCCATCAGTATTGACTTTCCATGTCTAAGGAGCTCTCTGGGGCTTTGGGGCAGCTTGCCAAGTGCTGCCCTGGCTCCTTCTGGGCCGTGATGTTCACTGTCTGCCAAGAGTGATCAGCTGTAGGCATCACATGCAGGAGAGTTGTCTCTGGCCCTACCTCTGGGCTATCAGGGGGCTGGGCAGTGTCTGGTATTGGGGGCTAGGCCAGTCCTATGATCTTAGAGGTGTCCAGGACACATATGGAAGTGATAGGGGCCTAGCATCTCTGCTCCAAGCTCTACTGTGAAAACCACAGACCTCTGAGGTCCAGGTCCATGGGGAGCTTAGAGAGGGAGTTCCAATGCAGGAATCACCAAGCACTCTGTGGTCTATCCTGAGCTGGGGATGGGCTGGCCACACTCTGAGTCCCCAGGGCCCCCAGAGAGCAGCCTGCTGTCCTGGGCTCTGCAGAAGCTCCCTTATGCCTCTGGGCTTTGGCCTTGGGTACAGCATAGCCAGGTGAGGGTGAGGGAGGATGAGGCTCCTGTTTCAGGAGGGCTATACCCATGGGCTGCTGGAGCTGGGCTGTGGGCCAGGGAGAAGCAGCCCATCCCCTTGGGGAGGGTCTCAATGCTGGGGGATATCTGCAGAGGCCTGGGTGGTGGGGGTGCTTGCTCAGGTTTGGCTGAAAGGAAAGCAGATTTGGTCAGCTTTTCCATTGAGAACATCTTGCTTTTGCCAGGCTGGACCCCACAGACCTGGGTCCCTGCAGTCCTCAGGGTCCCCGTGTGGTCTCCCTGGTCTAATGCTGAGGACACTCCTGCAGGCTGCTACTCCCAGAGCGAGGTGTGTGTGCAGCCTAGAGTGGGGAAGCTGTCAGGGAAGCTCAAGTCACTCCAGGGACAGCCCCCAGGGTTCAGGCTGACTCAGTCTTCCTGCCTCACACTCTTGCCCCAGGGCTGCTTAGCCTGGGCTTTAGCCTTGATTCAGAGCTCAGATGGATGAGGCCTTAACTGTTACCTAGCCCCTTTGCCACGCAATATGGGGGCTTATCTCCACAGTGGATGAGACACCCTCCACTCCTCTGGGGGATCTCCATGCCAGGGCTGGACTGTTCCCACACTCAGCTGAGCAATCAATTCTGGCTCTGGGCCAGGGTTTCACCTATGCCCTCTCCCTAGATTCTCTTAGGGTCTCTGACACTGATTTTAGGCCCTTGGAGGGGTGCTCAGGAGTGAAGGCCCCCTGCTGCTCTCCAGGGCTGCTGGTACTCACAGGTGTGGTTGTGGGCTTGCACAGATGGATCTGACCCCTCCAGTGTCCTTCTGGGGCTTTCAGGAGTGAGAGCAGGAGGGTACAGGGGAGGGGCTTGGAAGAGTCTTGCTCACGTCTCATTGTCTCTGAGGCATGTCCAGTAAACCCAAGGTCAGCTTTTGCCCTAGGCTCAGGCAGCCTGGTTTCAGAAGCTTCTTAGAGGAGGAGGGAGAGGAGGGGCTGGAGGAAGGCCCAGGGAGCAGGGCTGGTGAGGTCTGGGCACTTCCCACTATTTACTGCCCCGCAGGGTGACACAGGAGGAGACTTGGTGCTGAAGCCCACCTGGGTGTGCAGGTCACAGTGCATGCTTCTCAGTTCCCCCATGGAGGCCTCAGGGTGCCTCATCACCATGTCCTCCTCCAGGGCCCAGGCCTAGGACAGTGTGTCCTGAAGGAACTCCTGCAAGCCAAACAGGAACAGCTTCAGGGGGTGTTCTAGGGACAGGGTGACTATGAGGCTGGGAGGGGTCTGTGGGAGAGTCAGTGTCTGCACCTTGTTCCTGCCCCAGGCACCCACCACTGGGCGGTGCTGGATCCTACTGTGGCTGCCCCAGGGGTCCAGATGTTCACAGAAAACCACAGCTGGAGGAAGGCCTGGGCAGGGAAGTGCTCAACACACTCTTGCCTTTCATCTGGGTTGTGTCAGGAGTGGGTTTGGTACCTGGGTCCACTCCCTGCCCAGCCCACCAGGCCTGGTCTGGCCCTACCTCCAGGCTGGAGCAGAGAGCCATCTGGACAGTGTGGATGCTGCTCTCAGGTCATCACACACCAGAAGCCAGGAATCTGTCCTGGCTATAGGTCCCAGGGTCTGTCCTGCATGCTCCTTCTGGGCACCATTGGCCACCCAGGGACTTAATTCTGTGGCTGTGAAGGCCATGTATACCATAGTTGTCACCACACACTCACCTCCCAGTAGGTAGACATCCCAGAGCCACAGGATGAGCATGAAGGAAGTCTGTGGGAACAGCAGGTGTGGGAGGACCTGGCCTTTCCAACCTCGGGGCTGGTGGCTTGAGCAGGGCCCACTGTAGCCTCAGTCTGGACTTCCTGAGGCTCCCTCTGCTTGGGAAGAGACCCACCCAATCTTCCATAAGGCTGGGTCAGACAAGGTCCGGCAGCTCTTCATGGGGATGGACTCATCTCAGCAGAAATGTGGTTCCCAGAATAAGGGGCTTCCTGAGGGCTTGTGGCTTCCCTGGCTCCTTTGGCTCTTCCAAGATGGGTCTTGGCCCAGTCTGCCCAGAATTCCCTGGTGTCTGGTGTGTAAAGCTCCCATCATACAGGTCCTGGCTTGTGTGCCCTGCAGAGACCTGCCTGTGCCTCCTGTGGGGTGGGGGTGAGCTGGGTCCTCCTGGGGAAGCCAGACCCCTGGGCTGGGGGAGCTGAGCACTGTGGGGAAAGGAGGTACCTGGCCTGGGGTCTCCTATGCATCCTTATCTCATCGATGAAGCACCATAGAAACCAGTTTAAGGTGGAAAGCCGGATGCACAACCCTTCCTTGTCCTGATAGAAGGAATAGAAGTGTTCAGGGTCCCCTGGGCTTCCGTGAAAACCTCTGTATTCCAGACCCCACTGCAGACCCTTCCCCAAGAGGTAGAACAGTGGTGGCTGTGCCCCAACACCTCCCCATGGCATGGGCCCCCAGTGGATGTACTTCCCCTAGCCCTGGCTCAGCCAGAGCTTGGCCTGGTCCCAGTGCCTCTGTCCCCTCCAGGTAAGGAAAAGGAGGCCAAACTTTGAATCCATTGAAAACCAGATCAAGCCCTGGCTGGAAGTTGGCCTCTCACCAGCCCCAGGCTTCCCCTGTCCCTGCTAACCCCATGGGACCCAGGGCCTCTGGGGAAGAGCTGAGGGACTGACCACTCACCATGTGCTTCATAAGCTCTCAGAACACTTTTAGCAAAACTTGCTCTTGATGGGCTTGGAGACTCTGGAAGTTAGAACATCTTGGGATGTAGACTCCTGAGAGGCTCCTGGGGCCCCAAGGAATCAGAGCCTACTCCTGAGATGTGGAGCCATCAGGCTGGGCAGTGGCAGTTGGGCAGTGGCAGTTGGGCAGCAGCGGTTGGGCAGTGGCAGTTGGGCAGTGGTGGTTGCTTCCAGACCCCAAGGCCTTTCACTGTCCCATCCAGTGACCCCATCATGTGGTCTCGGCCAGGAGAGGAGGGGTGGGAATGCCCCTGGGGCCTGGCTGGAGGCACTGCTTAGTGGCTTCCAGGGCCATGGCTCCAGAAGGGCAGGCCTGCCTTTGAAGCAGTGAGGACAGGTGGGAGCTGGTGGGGTGACCAGGGGTGCTGGAGGGTGTGTGGCCTTCTCCTGGATGTGGGGTCAGGGCAGGGGACACAGGACAGAGAGAAGCTGTCATCTGGGCTTGGTCTAGCCATGGGCAGGGAGGGTGGTTGGGAGGGTGGCCAGCTGGGAGGTGGAAGGACCAGCAGGGTTGTAAGAGTCCCCTGCATAAGGTCAGGGCCAGAAGGTTGTGACACCAGGATGCAGAAGGTGGTCACAGGGCAGCTGTGATCCCATTTGCTGATGGGGACAAGAGGCATCTGACTTGGGGTGTCGGGTCCCTGGCCAGTCACAGGCTCCTGTGGGACTCTCAGCAGGGGATACCCTGGAGGCTCAAAATGAGCAGGGGACAGAAGGTGCCTTGTCTGTAAGTCACAATTACCCAGCCAGTGTGGCCGTCCCCTGTCCTGGCTGTGTGATGCCTCGTGGGTAGCTGTCCACTGTGAGCTAATGTCACATGGGAGGACTGTGTCACCTGAGAGGGCAGAGGTCACCTTGGAGAGTACCATGCTTGGCAAGCCTCTCATTGGCCAGCAGCTGGGCCAGCACCCAGATGTCTCCTCATTCTGGAACATGAGCAGGATAGTGGCTCATGGCATGATATGGCTTATGCCCCCGCAGTAGCCTACCTCTGGCAAAAGCCAAAGTCATCATGGAAAGACTTCACCAAGGCTGACGTCACCTTGGAGGGTTGAGGTCACCTGAGAGGGCTAATGTCACCTGAGCACACTATGTCACCAAGAGGGCAGAGGTTACCTGGAAAGGCAGAAGTCCCCTGGCAGAGCTGAGGTCACCTGAGGAAACAGGTCACTTGGAAGGGAAGAGGTCACTTGGGAGAGTTAATATCCCCTAGGAGAACTAATGTCACCTGAGAAGGCAGAGATCATCTGGGAAAGCAGAGGTCCCCTGGAAGACCTGAGTTCACCAGGGAGGGCAGAGATAACCAGGGAGGACTAATGTCACTTAGGAGGGCTGAGGTCACCTGAAAAGACTGAAGTCATCTGGAAAGGCAGAGGTCACCTGGGAGAGCTGAGGTAACCTAGGAGGGCACAGATCACTTGAGAGGGGAGAACTAATGTCACCCAGGAGGGCAGAAGTCACCTGAGAAGGCAGAGGTCACCAGGAAGGCCTGCCACAGGTCCCGGGGAATTTAGGGTGCAGCTTCCGTGCCCCTCTCCTGACACTGTGGTTCACTTGAGCCAGTCATGGACATCTCAGATGAAAAGGAGCTATGGAAGAGACTCCTGCTTCATCCAAACTCATGTGTGGCCAGAAAAGGCATAGGTGAGGGCCGTTAAGAACACCCTGACCCGAACTGCAGATGCTAAGCTGGGGAGGCCACTGTGCCAGGCTCAGGGCAACACCCATGAACTGAATCCCTATGAAGGCTGGCTTGTGGGTGCTGACCACTGCACATAGGGGACTGGGATGGCTCACAGGCTGCTGGGCACAGGAAGACAGCTAGGTCCAGACCCTGTGTGGGCAGCCCATGGAGTCTGCTCAGCAGCTCTTCCTGCCAGGAATGGTCAGGAAAGTGGGGGCTGGAGAGTGGGAGCAGCCATCTCAGTAAGTCCTTCCCTGTCTGCTGTGCTGTTCAGGGTTCGGGTGAAGGGGAACTTTGATCCCAAAGCCTGATTAAGATGATGGCTTCTTCAGGATCCAAACTCACTTTATGACAAAAGAAATGTTCATTAGGCACTTCACCATCTTGTAAAATATTCTGAGAGGGACAATCTGCAACAACGCAAAGCTTGTGGGGTTTGAGGTGGGAAAGGAAAATAAAACTCAGGACTCCAATTCACTATGCCAAATGGAAAAAATTAAGCTGAAAGCTGAGTCATGCAAAAAACTGTCTTTCCTTTTGTTCCTCAGCAGATAGCTACAGATAGAAGGTTAAATAGCTCCTCAAGTAGCTAGTCTTATGTTCACCTTATGTAAAGGGCCTATTACTGAGTGTGAGATGAATCCATAATTGACTGTTTTCCTGCCTACTCCTTTTCTCTTGCAACATGTGGATAACCACACCCTCTTTCCCATCTAGCACACTTCTCACCTTTAAATATTGAAGCCCTCACAATCATCTTTGAGAAAGGTACATATACCTGTTTCCTGGGTGCGTCCTTAACCTTGGCAAAATGAAAATTCTAAACTGATTGAGACCTATCTGACATACTTTTTCGTTTACAAGTTGGCAACCAACGGAAGAGACTCTGAGTGAAGGTGGCCCTGACCTTTGACAAATCTACTTGTGCATGGTACCAGTATGAGCTATATTTTTATTTTATCTGTTTTAATTTTGAGACAGTGTTTCACTCTGTCACCCAGGTTGAAGTGCAGTGGCACGATCCCTGCTCACTGTAGCCTCCACCTCCCGGGCTCAGGTGATCCTTCCACCTCAGCCTCCTGAGTAGCTGGGACTACAGGCTTGTGCCACCACACCGGGCTAATTTTTGTAATTTTCATAGAGACAGGGTTTTGCCTTGTTGCCCAGGCTGGTCTTGAACTCCTGGGCTCAAGAAATCCTCTGGTCTTGCAAGGCCTCCCAAAGAGCGGGGATTACAGGCATGAACCACCATGTCTGGCCTTGAGCTATCTTTATTGTTCAAACTGTTACAATAGGTAATTAGTCAGACATGAATAGGTCAGGAGAGGGACCCTCGCCCAGGAATGTCAGGCAACCATCAGATGGTGGTCAGGAGGTTGTTAAACTGCCTCTTGAAAATAATAATTGGCTGCAGCCGGTGCCAGGGAAAGGCAGCCTCCCAATAGAAACACCTCAAGTTGGTAATCAGCAGCTTCCCAATAAGATCTCAGGAGGTGGGCTAGTGGACTTAAGCATGTGCACTAACAGGCAAAATGGCAGAGTTGAACCAGTATATAACCTTTCTCCAGGAACACTCGGCTGGTAAGGGAAGAATGCCTTAAGTGAGCATGTGTACAATTTTGGTAAACACATTGTGTATGTTGCCCCTTCCAAGTGCTGGCAGGCCACTGTGCACGTGGACAGCCCACCCCAAGGGAAAAATCAAGGGAGAAGAGATGCAAACCACTCCCCCGCCCCAAGAGGCATGCCAATGTATGAAACCCCAAGTCAAAGATCAAACCATGAACTTGATCTCTCAAGTCACCCACTCGGCCCTCTTTCAAGTGGACTTTACTTTCTTCAGTTTCTGCTCTAAAGCTTTTTAATAAATTTTCACTCTTGGCTCTAAAACTTGCCTCAATCTTTCACTCTGCCGTATGCCCCTCAGTCGAATTCTTTCTTCTGAGAAGGCAAGAATTGAGATTGCTGCAGACCCATATGGATTTGCTGCCAGTAACAAAACCAACAGGACGATTTGCTGAGGCCTGGGAGGTATCATCTCCAGAGAATCCCTGATTTCTCAAAATGTTGTTGAGATCTAAGGTTTATTTTGCTGTTCAACTCCTTTTCTAGAGTTTTACTTGCATCCAAAAAGATGAGTTTTTCTGAATCCATGATAATGGAAAGCAGGCAACTCCTTTCCAGAGTTTCAGCTTGCTTCCAACAGGGAAGATGAGTTTTGAGTTTTTTTCCTGCTTCTAGGATGATAGAGAGCAATCTTCAACCTGGGCCTTATTCCTACATAAGTAGCTGAAATGGGGTTTGTCTTGGAAATTCTCTGAAAGTTAAGATTAACTACCAGCTGGTCTTGATTCCTCCTTACCATTAGAGTGCTCAGTAATCTTATAAATTGTGCAATCATTTGTTTTGCTTTACTTTTTTGTTGTTGTTTATTTGTTTGGTTCTGTTTTTGTTGTTTTAGTCTTTTTTCCATTGGGTTTGACCACTCTAGTTGACTTGGTCAAACCTGAAGGAAAGTTCTAAATTATGGGGAACAAGACCTCTGAACTGGCTAAATTCCTGAAGCTGGAAAAACAAAGAGAAAAAAAAGAAAAATCAGCCATCGAAGCAAGAAAGATTTCAATTACCTGAAGGGCTTTATTTACATAACAAAACAACCCTTTGCTAGCCAAGCCAAACTGAAATAGCAATAGTGGTTGCCCCATGCTGTAGTTCAGTAGCTAAGGTTCTGCCCTTTTTCCACCATGGCAGCCTGGGTTTGGTTCCTAAATAAAGTCTTTACTGGTTTGATATTTGTGTTACATTTGAAATATTAGAAGTTTGTCCCACCTAAAACATGGTAATGTAACCAAAATGCAGGTTAGTCGCTTGTTGCTTGCAGAGTCCAATTAACAAAAGTGAAGTCTGGTATAAAGAAAGTAATTTATTTCCAAAACTAGCTTAGGGGAAGAAATGCAGGTGTCCTCCATATGGCTTCACTTTTAAAAAGCAGGGGAGGAAGTGAGCAAGGGTGGTGGCGGGGGGTCCATGCTAGCTCTTGTGCCTTATCTACGGGGCAATCAGCTTGTGACTGCTGGCACCTTCATGGGCAGGCTGTTATCTCTTGAGACAACCTCCTAAAGAGTGAGAGTTCCACAGTGGGCATGATTGGTTTATAAATCAACTGTTAATTCTCAAGTTGACTTTCCAGTTTGAGCGTGTAGTTAGATGAACTTGCACTGTAGGGAGAGTCCGGTAATGGGGAGGTAAAAGGCTATATTTGCATTCCTAAAAGCCTAAGTAGGGAGTGGGGAACTGAAGGAACAAGAAAAGGAAAGAAAAAAAATAATAATTGATGTCTCAGGAAAATGGGTGTACTCGGTTACAGCAATGAGATTTTAAAGGATTTTTAAAGCTCAGTGGTTAAAAGTCAGCTTGATTAAATGCTAATATACATAAGGTGTCAAAATTTGGCATGACGGTTATAAAATTATAAATGTAACTCAAAAGATAATTATCCTTGTGTAATTTTTTTTGATAAATAAGTCATTTATCCTGAGTTATTGGCGAAAAACTCATTTGTTTAACCTTAAGCTTCTTACTTAGGTAAACACCTGAAATTCACAGGCTATATAAATGATTAACAGGAAAATACCTTTAAATGTTGATTATCACAGTTTTCATAAGTAATCTAGGTAAACTATTAAAAATAAGTTAGGTAAATGTAATGGAAGGAATGCTTGTAAATAAGCATAATATAATTTAGAATCTAAAGTTATATTACATAACAGGCATTTATTAAATGTCTGGGTCATTCACAATTAAAAAAATTACAGAAAAACATTTTGCTAAGAATATGTTCTTATTTAAAGGAAAATAATTTTTGTTGAATTCAAAGGTTATTTAAAGGTTATGAAACAAGATAAAAGGAACCACTAAATAAGAGCGATATAAAGACAGTTAAAAATATAAAGAGATATTTTTGGTAAGAAAGGTTAAAAGGAAAATTTTATATGAGAAAAAAATCTTGCATGGTAAATGTTTGTTCTAAAATAAAATGGCTGGATGCAAATAGCTCATGCATGTAATCCTAGCACTTTGTAAGGCTGAGGTGAGCAGATTGCTTGAGCCTGGGAGTTCCAGACCAGCCTGGGCAACATGGTAAAACCCTGTCTATACAAAAAACACAGAAAATTAACTGAGTATGCTGGTGCACATCTATAGTCCCAGCTACCTGGGAGGTTGAAATGGGAGGATTGCTTGAGCCTGGGTGGGTCAAGGCTGCAGTGAGCTGTGATCATGCCACTACACCCCAGCCTGGGTGACACAGAGAGAGAGACCTTGTCTCAAGGAAACAACAGCAGCAACAACAGCAGCAACAACAAAGAAATCTTAAAAAAAAGAAAAAGAAGATAAAATGATTGGTTATTTAGGAAAGAAGCTGTTTAGGATAAAACAGGAAGTCTAGGCATGTCATAAGTGGCTTGTGTAAGTCATAGTAAGGTTTGTAAAAAGAGACTTTATGAGAAAAGAATTTATTTGATCAAGTTGGCTATAATTAAAAGGAAATTAGTCTTTCTAGAGACTGTGCTTTTGCACTTAGTGTATATTAAAAATATGCTAATCCACTCAAGAATGGGCTAGAAGAACAAAATTTTCTTAAGATATTAATTTACTCTTAACAAATTACAAGATATTTTAATTTTTTTACCCCAGATTTCAACTTTTATTGAATCTCACTGTTTTCACCTTTCTCTCCCCTTCATAAGTCCTGAGATAATCGCTCTCTCCAACTTTCTTGTCAGTTTCTATAATTTTTTTTCCTCAGGTTCTAACTGCTACTGTGACATGATGCTAAAAGTGTTTTATCTTAAAGGTCTAAAGGAAATATTTTCTTCCAATATAACATTCTGTGCTCTTGGTTTGAAGTTTTTCTATGAAACTGAAAATTTTCACTTATGATGCAAGACACACCCTTCCTATATCTAACTAATTCAAGTACCATTTTCATTAGTTTTGACTTGAAGTCTAGGGAAAAGCAATTGCTGCAGGTCTTTTATTTATTTTTTGCCTTTTGGTAACTGGCCTAACAAACAGATTTTATATTTTATTGAAACAATTCCTATGTCATTAAGTTTTTTATTTGCCTAGGAAAACTGAGATTTAAAAAATTAAAGTTATTAACATCCATACAATGTTCTGTATTGCTTTTAAAGTCCTTGTTCTGTTGAGTTACAGGGCTTTGACTCCTGTATCTAAAAAGGACACCAAGTCCTGCTAAATCTTAAACACTGAAAGCTTCTAAAACCGTATCTTCAGAACCAGGAGAAGATGATAATCAAAAGAAACTGCACTCATGAAACACAGGGCCAGAAATTGAAACTATCTTACCCCTCAAAGTCCAGGGGCTATTGTGGAAGATGTGGGTACATGCGATTGTAAGAGCCTATTTTGAAAGATAAAATTGGTTTTATCTTGGTTACAGTTTCTCTGTAAAGATTAGTATCAAAGGCTCACTGATGCAAGACTAACCTCTGAGCTCCTGTGTCAGATTAACAAGGTTTTCTTGGAGTATTAACCCACTTTTTCATTTAAAAAATTATAAAATGTTACAAAAAGGTTTTTGGAAATTATATAGTATGGTGAAGATCATTAAAATTTAATAGATTTGTTTATAAGATTTGAGAAACAGATTTCATTGGCCTCATGCTATCTTTATTAGGGCTTATTGTTTGGAAAATTAAGTCTCCTCTCTCAAAGAGTAATGGTTTTGTCTTTTGACTTTTTTTTTTTTGAAATCTTTGAGTTATCACTTTGGTTAAATGAATGACTTATTTTACAATGACCAATGACCAATGATCCTATTTTGTGATAGCAGGTGTTTTAAAGTTTTGATATTTGATTTTTTCAAAATTAAATTCTAAATTCAGTCCTTTTGACTCATTAATTTTTTTGATATTAGGTCCCCTTAAGTCCAAAAGACACATATTTGCCTTATTTGGTATAATACAATCATTAGATATTAATTTCATATTTGACAATACCTACTGTATAATTTTATTATACCAAATAAATGTAACCTAATAATCTATAATTATAATTTATATTTATAGATTTAACCTGTAATTTTATTATACCAAACAGGTATAACCTCATTTCATGGGATGCGCCCATTCCCCTGAATTCCTCCATCTCCCCTGGGACCTGTGTTGAAGGTCATCTCAGTAGCTTCTAGGTTTTAGTGATAATGAATAAGGCAGTGAATGTGACATGTAGGTTTTAGGTGTACATACATTTTCAAGTCAGCTAGGTCAACGTCTATGACACTTGTGGTCACGTGGTACAAGTACATTTAGCTTTGTGAGCAATTCCCAACTGTCTTCCAAGGCGGCTGTACCATTTTGCATTCAGCAGCAGCAGCATTTTGCAGCAGCAATGCACAGAGTTCTTGTGGCTCCACATCCTCTATGGTGTTTGGTGTTGTCAGTGTTGCCTGTGAAGTCTGAGCCCCTCTTGTGGGTCTCTACCTCAGGTACTTGTGGGTCATAGAGAGAACTTTTCACCATGCAGCATGATTGTGTTTGCTACTGCTTGTTTCCTCAGTAGCCACTTGGGTTCTGGACCCACATGCCCCAGCTCGGCCCATGGTTTGGAGCTCAGTAGATGCTCTGTGATGCTGGCTGCTCCCTGGCCAAGAGAGCCCTTGGGGGGCTCTGTCACGTCCTATCTTGGACTCCTGCATGGGATGCCCCTATTCCTCTGAATTCCTCCGTCTCCCCTGGGACCCTCCATCCCCCATAGGCCTTACCTGACTCTGTAGTGCTCCCAAAACATGACATGGTGTCTGAAGGTGCACTTCATGTCCAGGTCAATCTGGTTTATTTTCGCTGAGGACATCTTGCCCTGCTGCTTTATTTTCTGCTCCCTCTGCTCCCAAATCCTAGGCCCTCCTGAGTGTGAGCCCATAGAAAGACCCTCTTCCCTTCCCTAAGTGGCCACCTGGACTGATAACCTGTGGTGGATGAGGATGGGGCTGGTCCTTCCCTGGGGCTCACTCTCCCGCAGTTGCTTTACAGTGAGAGCCCTGTATAGGAGCCCTGCTCCTTTATTTTCTTTAGGGCAGGGCTAAAGGGCTGGTTCCTCAGGAAGGAACCAGCCTTATAACAGACAAAAGGCTCACTACCACAAACAGCAATCATTCAGCACTTCTGGAAGGAAAGACGATTTTTTTTTTTTTTTTTTGCAGAAATATCCTTCTCTATCTTATTTCCAAAGCCACTGAGGGTCACCAGAGCCCAGTTCACTTGTGGTTCCCATGCCATCGTCTGTGCCTAGGATATGGGACTGACCATCACTCAGGCTTGACTTTTCCTCTAGCTAGAGACCTGGGCTCCTGACATGGCCTGGCCTGTTTCTTCCGCTGTGGCTGAGTGTGGAAGGACCATACCTGGTACTTACTTGGGTTTTCAGCCTTCACCTTCTTAACGTCCAGCAGGAGTGACCATGCCTGACTCCACATCTGCAGGGGGATTCCTTAACAACATGCTTTTTTGCCTTAACAACATGCTTTTGCTGCAGATATCAGCCAGGGCCTGTTTCTCTGCTCCTCGCTAAGAATGCTTTGTTTCCCATAAGGAATGCTTTTAGCTAATATATAATCTATAGAAGCAATGCTTATCACTGGCTTACTGTCAATTAATATGTGGGTCTAACTCCATTCATGGCTCTCAGCTCTGAAGGCTATCAGCCCCTGATTCCCACTCTACACTCTATTTCTGTGTCTGTGTCTTTAATTCCTCTAGCGCCACTGGGTTAGGGTCTCCACGACCGAGCTGGTCTTGGCAATTGGTTGGGAGGACAGAAGACTGACTCACTGTGGAATCTCAAGCTGACTGATGACCTTGTAGATGTAAACATCTTCATCTCCTGTGTCCACTGGTGCCCTGGATCAGCAACCTGCAAGGCAGAGGGAGAGAGGGTGAGGGAGGCCAAAATAAAAGTTGTTGGGTATGGGCGTGTGGGCAGCTCATCCTTGCCCTGCATCCCGAAGGAGTCCAGGACCATCAGACCAGGGAACAGAGGGAGAGGTGAGACCCGCCTCCCTGGAGGGAGCAGCCTGACCTGTGTCTGCTTATACTTGGCAATGATGTCCCTTTACTCCTGGGCGAGCAGGATATCCATGTCTTTGTCCATATCCACCCTATAAGACAAAATACTCCCAAAATTACATGGCACCTGAGAGCTTTAGAGAACACCCCATACATCTGCTCCCAGATGCCAGCCGGGTGAACTTCATTTCACCAACACCCCCAGGACAATGGGACCAAGCCAAATGGCCCCACCTCTGCCAGGATTTCTGGAGTCCCTGGGCCTGACCAGAGGTGGGCCCTTTCCTGAGGACTTTAAAACAAGGAGACCTAGACAACAAGACTTGTTGTCCCTAAATGTCCTGAAATGGGCACACACTCCACAGCAGGATGAACGGCATCTACCTGCTCAGGGTGAAGGGCCATGATGACTATAATGGACACCTGGAGGCAGACTAGGGCCAGGAACCAGAAATCTCTATATGATCAGCCTCCTGCTATTGTTCAGACACCATGAAGATGCCCAGTTTTCTATAGGAAAGAAGAAATCTCATGAGTGTTCTGTTCCACTCAAATCTTTACTCACTGTGGCCAGTGAATCCATTTGAAGAATAACACCAGTCAAGAAGGAGGATGTTTGGTTCGGAGAAGGCTTGATCTATTGTCTCCAAAGCAGCCTCCCTTTGGTGGAGGGAGGGCAGATTCCACAGTCCTGAGCAGTTGATACAGGAAGAGGCTTTGTTTTCCCAGGTCACCAAAGAACAAGTGAACTCTTGGGGACAGGTTCTGGAGAACACCCAGAGGGGCCATCTCTCCTGGGAATACCTGAGACAAAGGGAAGGTGATACGTCTGGAGGACAGGTCAGAGAGAGGGCCTTGCAGGTTAAACCCCTGTCCCCAGGCCTCAGAGAACAGGAGGAATGACTGTCACCTTTCGGCCAGACCTCCAGGGTTTCTTCATTTTCCACAACTATTCGAGGGCAGAGGGCTCCCAGCTCTGCTCCCAAACTGGAAAACTCCAGTGCCTGGTGGGTCCCACAGTAACCATCAGAGCCCACACTTAAAGTCTGAATGGATAAGATCCCTGCCTCTGGGGAACTTTTTCTTGCACAGACTTGGACTGAGGGATGCCTCTAACCCCACCCACAGGGCCCCCCATTCCTGTGGCTCTTCCAGAGCCAGGTTCTACCCCCACTGGGGTCCAGAATCCTCAGCAGATTTTGTATCTAAGGCAGGAAGGCTGCAGAGGTCAGGAGTTGAGTGCAGGACAGCACAAGGCAGGGCTGAGATCACAGTCCAGAGTCACATCTGGGTCCCTGGGTCAGTTGCCTCCGCTCTGACCTCAGGCATCTCATCTTCAAATGGGTACATTAGCACCCATTCCACGAAGTCAGTGTGAGGGTGAATGAGACGGCTGCAATACATGGTCAGTGAAGAGAAAGCACCTGGTGGGAGCTCAGCGACATTACCCTCCACAGCGCCCCGGAGGCCAGTGATGCCATCTGGTAGCATCTGCCCCCATGTCAGCAGGAAGGGGAGACAGCAGGTCACACTTACCCGAGAATGATCAGTCAGCTGTGCTGAGATGTGCCTCTCACTTAGAAAAGGGTCCTGCACACAGAGACACTCACAGACACCACTGTGTGTCTCCAGCTGCTCCACAACTCAGGGGCAGGCAGATGTTCAGCAACAGTGACGTCTGGGGTTACAGCACCCATCAGAGTGGGGCCCTGCCTGGGTCAGCAGGGCCCAGGTCCAGTGTCCTCTACTCCTTGAACTGTCAACACGCATGCATTCAATGTGTTTGTGTGTGAGTGTGAATGTGTATGTTGTGAACACGTGTGTGCATGAGTGTGTCTCTTCTCTGGCTGGTCTTGGCTGCTCCACCACATGTGCACCCAGGTCCTCATCACTGTCACCCCCAAGGGCTGTGGCCAGCATCAGAGCATCTATGGGTGCTCCCTAGTCTCTGCCCTCTCCACCTGAGGCAGTTCTGGATATGCAGACATAGGAAGGGCAGAGGGCAGAGGGCTTGCCCTTTCCTCATAGGGACTCAGTTTGTGTGTAAAATTTTAGGCCTACATGCTCAGCAGGGCAGGATTCAGCACACCTTCTCACGTCCTCCTCCTCCTCGAAGCCTTCTGGGCTGCTGTGTCCATTCCCCTTTTATAGATGAAGGGAAGGAGGCTCCCAGGACAAATCTCCTGTCTGAGGTCACACAGTGGCAGGTGACTAGGCACCACTGACCAGGTCCCCTGCCTAACTGGACCTGAGGAAGGAGGAAGCTCAGGAGGGAGGTGGGTGGAATCACCTCTTGGATGTCAGCTTCTGTCCACCAGGTGTCAGGTGACCCCCTCTTATCTGTTTTCTTTACCTCTGCTATCTCCCTTGGTCATTGAAATTGAACTGGGGTGGGGACATATTGGGAACCTATACCTGCAGCCCTTCCATCTCCTCAGAAACCTTCCCATGGGCCCAAAAATGCCCCCTCACTGGCCTCCTGTTTTCTACTCTTTAACTCTTAACCTCACCCAGGCATGGGGCCATAGTGGCCTGGAGACCCTATCAGATGCAAGTCCATTAGGGCACATCCCTGCTTAGGGGTCACCACCAGTGCCCCATCCCAATGGGACGCTCCAGTGGCTAAGAAACCCCCTTGCTCCCACACAGCCATGTGGAAACAACCTCATGTCCATTGAGAGATGAAAGGAAATGGAGGCTATCCTCACAATGGAATATTATCCAGCCATGCAAAAGAAGGAAATCCTGCCATTTGCAACATGGATGAACCTGGAAGACGCTGTGCTAAGTGAGACAAGCCAGTCACAAAAAGACATATACTGTATAATTCCACTGAGATAAAGTACCTAAAATAGTTAAACTCATAGAAGCAGAATGTAGAATGGGGGTTACTGGGAGGTGAGAAGAGGGACATGAGGAGTTGCTTTTCAGCTTGTGTAAAATTTCGGGTATGGAAGATGATTAAATTCTAGAGATTCGATGCATAACATCCTACCTATAGTAAACAATGCTGTATTACACATTAAAAAAATTCTGCTAACATTAGGAGATATATGTGTGTGTACCTGTGTGTGTATACAGTGTAGTATTTTTTTTTTTTTTGCTGAACAGTACTCCATTGTATGGATGCACCATAGTTTGTTTACATGTTCACCTGTTAAAGGACATTTAGTTTGCTTCTGGGTTTTGCCTATTATGACTGGAGCTTTTATAACAGTTTGTGTACGGGTGTCTGTGTGGACATAAGCTTTTATGTCTTTAGGAGAAATACCAGGGCTGAGATTGCTGGTTCCCGTGGTAAGTATATGTGTAACCTTACAAGAAACAAATTGCTTTCCAGTGCAGCTGTGCCATTTTGCTTTCCTGGCAGCGATGTGTTAGTCCTGTTGCTCCACATCCTCGCCGGCACTACTAGTGTCTGTGGTTTTTATTTTAGACATTCTAATGGGTGTGTAACAGGATCTCACTGTGGTTTTGATTTGTAGTCCCCTAGTGAGTCATAGTATTGAGTACCTTGTCTGGGCTGCTCTGCCTGCTGCGTGCCCTCGTTGCTGAAGTTTATGTCTGAGTCTTTGTCTCATTTCTGAAACTGGTTTTGTTTTCTTGTTTTTGAATTGAATTGATTGTTTTAATTGGGTTGGCTTGAGCATTCTTAAGTGTTCTGAATATGAGTCCTTGTCAGACGTGTGCTTTTTTAAAATATTTTCTCCAAATCTACAGCTCATCTTTTCATTCACTTAACAATGTATTTTACAGAACAAAAGTTATAATTTTGATGAAGTACAACTTATTGAATTTATTTTTGCCTTTTGCTATACTTTGCTTTCAGTGTCACATCTATGAACTCTTTGCCTAACTAGATTGGAAAAATTTTTTCTCCTATGTTTTAGTCTAAGCATTATATATTTTTATATTTTATGCTTAGATCTACGATCCATTTTGAGTTAATATTGTAACTAATGCAATTTGTTACATGTAAATTAGGAGGTTTAGATCAAGATTCATTATTCTGGATAAGACTGTCCAATTGTTGACTGGGTGCCGTGGCTCACGCCTGTAATCCCAGCACTTTGGGAGGCCGAGGCTGGTGGATCACGAGGTCAGGAGTTCAAGACCAGACTGGCCAAGATGGTGAAACCCCATCTCTACTAAAAATCCAAAAAATTAGCCGGGCCTGGTGGCAGGCGCCTGTAATCCCAGCTACTTGGGACGCTGAGGCAGAGAATTGCTTGAACCCAGGAGGCGGAGGTTGCAGTGAACCGAGATTGCCACTGCACTCCAGCCTGGATGACAGAGCAAGACTCCGTCTTAAAAACAAAAACAAAACCAAAAACTAAAAAATAAAAAAAGACTGTCCAATTGTTTTAACACTGTTGAAAAGACCTTCCTTTCTCTGTTGAATTGCTGCTGTTCCTTTGTCAATAATTAGCTATAATTGTGTGGGTTTATTCCCAAGCTTCCCAATGTCTTCCATAGATCTATGTGTCTATCACTTCTCCAATATCACCTTGTCTCGGTGAGCTCTTTTGGAACAGCACTTTGGAAGGGTAACCTGCAAGTGGGGTGAGGGGCTCTATGATGGGACATACCTGGCCTAGTGGGCAAGGAAGGGCTTTATGGTCAAACATTCCTGGGATGCAGTAACGGCTTTCCCCTGTATTGCGGGACATCAAATATTCTCTTCATTTCTTTCAACTTGAATGTTCTCACCTGTAAAATGAAAAATAACTATTCTACCTTATTTGGAAGAGAAGACCAAGAACCTATATGACATTGAGCAGGTGTCTACGGAGCACCTAGTATCATGTGATACACTTGGAAGATACCCTGGTGAACATGCTGGACACAGCTCCTGCTTCTGTAGGGCTTGCATGTTAGTGAGGGAGACAGAGACATAACCAGACAACTGTAATTATGGGCCAACATTTCTGCCCTCAGAAACATATGATGTGCAAGTGGGTCAACACAACCCAATCGTGGAGTGAAAGAGAAGGTTCTGGGGCAGTGACTTCAAAGTGAAAGAGTACAGGGTGAGAAAGGGGCAGCACAGGAACAAAACAGGGCGTGGGGAAAGAGGGACTATAGGTAGGCAGACAGCATGGAAGAAGGCAGAGGATGAAGAGAGTAGGACAGCATGGTGGGGCATAGAGAGCACTGAACAATGGCGAGAAATGGGATCCACCAGAGAATAAAGGAAGGGTTTTGCATGTTCCAGTGAGGTGTTGGGCTTCATGTCGTTCATTTTGTTTTATTCTATTGAATTTTATTGCTATTATTCCACATAAAATTCACCATTTTAAGTTACACAATTTAATTTTAAATATATTCACAAGATTTGGAACTATCATTGCTATCTAATTCCAGATCACTTATATCACCCTTAAGAGAAAGCTTATACTCATTAGCCGTCAGTTCCTATTCTCCCCTCCTGCAGCCCCTGGCAACCATTAATCTGTGTTTAGTCTGTATGGATTCACCTATTCTGGACACTTTACATACATGGAATTATATAATATGTGGTCTTCTGTGCCTGGCTTCTTTCACTGAACATGCTGTTTTCACATTTCATCCACATGATAGCCAATGTCAGTGTTTCATTCCTTTTTATGGCTGAAGGACATTGCATTGTGTAGATGTATCAGTTTCCTAGGGCTGCTGCAACAATGTACCACAAACTGGGCGGCTTCAAACAACAGGAACTTATTGTCTCATAACTCTGGAGGTTAGCAGTCTAAAGTGTCAGCTGGCTACCCTCCCTCTGAAACCTGTAAGGGAATCCTACCTTGCCTCTTCCTAACTTCTGGTGGTTTGCCAGCAATCTTGGCTTGCAGGAGCATCACTCCAGTCTCTCCTCTTGTCACCACATGGTTGCCTTCTCTTTGTATGTTTGTGTCTTCACATGCTATCTTTTCGTAAAGACACCTGCCGTATTGGATTAGGGCCTGCTCTACTCTAGTATAACTTTGTCTTAACTAATGACATCTGCAATGCTGCTATTTCCAAATAAGGGCACATTCTGAGGTTTGGGGAGTAGAGCTTCAATGTATCTTTCTTGGGAGGGCACAATTCAACCCATAACAGTGGACACACCTTTTCTTTATGCTAGGCTTTCTTATAAAAGTAATGAGATGCCAGTTAAATTAACAGTCCTTAGTGCTTCCTGTTTTTTGAGTCAAGCGCTTCGCATGTGTTATGAAGTTTACAATTGCTCTGCAGGGTGGAAGGTGGAAGCTATTATTTATAAGAAAAAAAAATTAAGGAAAGAATGGTGAGAGGGTGAACCAAGGTCACACTCTTGATCCATAATGGAGATAGGAAGACTTTCCAAGGTTTTTCCAAAAGTTCTACACTTGGTAAGTGGCAGAGTCCAAATAGAAACTCAGGTTTTCTGCTTCCAAATCCCATGATCTTTGCAATGTTGCAAGTCTGGCTTCTGCTGTGAAACGCTACTGTTATAGAATACGTCTTCCAGATCACAGAAGCTTTCATGACCCTTCGACTGTCTCATGCAAGCAATGGTGAAATGGTAGAGATGCTAATTGAGCGGGGACATCAAGGGCACCCTCAGGGCTGAGTCAGCTGCAGTCCACAAGACAGAACTAAAAGGAAAGAATCCATGGGGAAACACCTTCATTAGGCCTTTTCACTATGGGAAAAGAACTTTCAGAGTTTGAGTGATGGGAAGAGTGAGGACCTTAAACAAAATGGTGAAAGCAAAAGAAATTTTTAGAGGAGAATGGTGGGTTCAATTTGGCCCTGGTGAATTTGAAGGGTGTATTAGTCTGCTAGAGCTGCAATAGCGAAGTATCACAGACTGGGAAGCTTCAACAAGAAAAATTTATTTTCTCATAGTCCTGGAGGCCAAAATTCTGACATTAAGGTGTCCGCAGTGTTGATTTCTTCTGAGGCCTCTCTTGTTGGTTTGTAGATAACTGTCTTCTCCCTGTGTCTTCACACAGTTGTCCCTCTGTGAGTGTCCGTGCCCTAATATCCTCTTAGGGCCCACCCTAATGATCTCATTTTAATTCTATAAAGACACTATTTCCAAAGAAAGTCACATTCTGAGATACTGGGGGTTAGAACTTCAATATACAAATTTTGAGAGGACACAACCCAACTCACAACAAAGACCTTGCTGTGCAGTAAAGCAGAGATATCTTTTAGGTTCTTAGCACTCAGAGTTGACAGTTGAGGAAAGACCAAGGTTGAGCATGTCATTTTTTTGTTTTGTTTTGTTTTTTGAGATGGAGTCTCGCTGTGTCACCCAGGCTGGAGTGCAGTGATGTGATATCAGCTCACTGCAACCTCTACCTCCTGGGTTCAAGCAATTCTCCTGCCTCAGCCTCCTGAGTAGCTGGGACTACAGGTGCACACCACCATACCAGGCTAAGTTTTTTGTGTTTTTAGTAGAGATGGGGTTTCACCATGTTGGTCAGGCTGGTCTCAAACTCCTGACCTCAAGTGATTCACCTGCCTCAGCCTTCTAAACTGCTGAGATTACAGGTGTGCGCCACCACACCTGGCAAAGATGTCATTTTTAGGAGGCAGAAATTGAAGACATGTGATATGGTTTGGCTGTGTCCCACCCAAATCTCATCCTGAATTGTTGTTCCCATAATCCCCACATGTTGTGGGAGGGACCTGGTGGGAAGTAATTGAACCATGGGGGAGGTTGCCTCCATGCTGTTCTTGTGATAGTGAATTGTTATCAGATCTGATGGTTTTTTAAAAGGGGCTTCCCCCTGTCCCCTTTCACTCTGCCCTTCTCCTTGCTGACACCATGTAAAGAAGAAGGTGTTTGCTTCCCCTTCTGCTGGCATTGTAAGTTTTCTGGGGCCACTCCAGCCCTGCAGACCTGGGAGTCAATTAAACCTCTTTCCTTTATAAATTACCCAGTCTTAGGCTGTCTTATAGCAGCGTGAGAACGGACTAATACAACATGTGATAGCTGATGATCCCAGAAACAAAGTCTAGAGAAATTGGGTGAGGATGCCAGTCTTGTGTGTTTTTGGTCATTGACAAAGTAAAATAAAATTTCTTAAAACGTTTTCCTACTTTTGCTATAGAAGCTTGATTTGTGAAATAGTGTTTGGAGAGTTGTAGTATAAATATCAATGCAGAGTGAATTAAAAAACAGAAGAAATGGATAAACCAGATTTACAATCATTAAGTAAATCAAAATTGGTAGTTAAAAAAATTTAGCATGACCAGGCCCAGATGATTTAACAGGCAAATTGAACAATTGAAAAATAGGCAGCAGGTAGATTTTTCTGGATTTACAGAGTGTATCCACCCCAGCATATCCACTTCTCTGAGCCTTCTCACCTCTGTCTTTCGTGGGGAGTTGTCACTTTTTCCATACTTACAGGAGCTTACCTTGAATCTGATTTGAACTATCTTCTGGAATCCCTGTTAGGCTGTTAAATCCTGTATCCTGTGAGGATCCTCCTGCATTGATAATAAACCTCTCTCATCTAACCTTAGGTTCTACTTGGAAATGGAGACCCTTTAGTATCCAGCCCCATGGATATCTCAGGACTTCTGCCCATATATGTGGCTATATTCTGTGGCTCTTCCCCTATTAAGTCATAAGGTCCCTGGCTGAGGTAGGCTGTGGTGAACCTCATCATTGGCCTGGCCACCAGGAAACAAGGTGTGAGCTGATCAGGGGGTTTTAGGGCACTACAGTCTTGTGGGAGAGCAGTCTCTGCCTTCTCTCCAAGCAAGGGGCCAGTGCTTTCCCTTCCTAGGGAGGGCTGGGCCACTCTGCACACTCAGATTGTGCAGGGGCATCTGGGGATTCAGATAAAAAGAGAAATGGGCAGAGGGGAACAAGAAAGGGGCACAGAGAGAGAAGCTGGGATGAGTCACGAGAGCACAGAAAGAGGGGCAGAGACACGGCTGGTTGCCAGCAAGGTCTCAGGATCAATAGGAAGACCATTGTTGGAAGGAGGAAGATTTCCCCAGTATTTTGTGTGGGAGCTCCAGTTGGAAGCTGGAAGCTCTGCTCTTTTGCATCTTAGCGTGAAGACGGGGACCATGGGTTCATCTCTCCCAGGCAGCTCTTCATTTTGTTGTTTTATTTTCTTTTTTGATTTTTATTTAGAAATTTTCTACATTTCCTAAAATCTTAACTTTTATATCATTGTTGGTGTCCAGTAAATTAAGAGAAATGTGGCAAAATGACATGGAATCCAAATACATCATCAAAGAGATATTTTATTTGTAAACAAGTTACTCTCTAAGGTCTTAAAATCTGCCCCAAGTGTTCTCTCTGCACGTGAACAGGCGGAATAATTGTGATAAAATGGAAGAGCCCAGCAGGTGGGGTCTGTGAGATCATTCAGCTGACTCCTGCAGACAATGTGCTCTCTCTCTCTCTGCCCCCACACTAAGGGTGCACTCCTTGTTCATCTCCAGGACGGTGTCAGCAAATGCTGCCTGGGGCATGCTGGTGATCACTGTGTCACTTTGGGTCAGGAAACACATTCTGGAGAGGACAAAGCAAGTGAACAGGCCTTGTACGCTGAGTGGAAGGCCTTTTATCTCCAAAAAATCAAACCAGAGAAATTAAAAAATATCTTGAAACAAAAGACAAGGGATACACAAATATAAAAACTTGAGGGTTCCAGGGACCAGAGGGCTTCTGCACCTTAGCCTGTTTCCTGCTTTGCTAAATGAGCAGATGTGTGATGTGCTCTCTTTGGTCCCATCGCTTCCTATTGTGATTCCTCCACCCTGGGCACTTGCTCTCATCCTGTTCTGCCGGCTGCTGCCTCACTCAACAAAACCTGTCGACTTCGACTAAGGTCAAGATTCATGGGTCGACCTTAGTACCACCTGCCATTGGCCCCAGGACCATGCCCTGTGCCACCACCCAGGCCCCAGAGCCCAGGGCACAGCAGGTTCACCCTGAGGACATCTGAACAGGTCTTTTTTCACAAGAGGACAGAAGAAAGGATAGCGACACTGAGCTCCAATGCCGTGAAGAGGAGCATCACAGACAGGATCCTCTGAAATGCAGGATGCACGAGGTCTGTGCTGGACTGGCCAACCCTTCTGCCTTCCTGAGATGACCAGATGGGTTTAGACAGTGTCATCTGCTGGCTCCTCTTCCCTCGTACCTGACTCAACCTGCTCATGATCTGGGAGACAGTGTCATATCCTAGTATCCTGGGCCACTCCAGGGACAGCAGTACAGGTGGCAGGTGACACCCAAGGTTGAGCTGAGCCTCCTGACTCTTCATTCATCTGGCCTCCAGGGAGAGTCTCCGCCTGTCTGGGTTTCAATTTCATCTTCTGTAAGATGGGGACTTCCCACTCACCCCTTAGGGCGGTTTGCAGGTCCACAGAGGTGGTGAGGCAGAAGGCCTTCCTTTGTAAACTGAGCGCCAGCACCTGCTACCCACCTATGCTCCCTGGGGTGGGCCTGCTTGGCTTGGCTGGGAGGCAGCAAGGGGCACCTTGACCAATCAAAGTGATGTGCTGGCACAGTTGCTAATTCTCACGCCAGTCCCCAGGAGCTATCTGCCTGAGGAGGAGAACAATTCTGCTTCCCTGGGTCACCTTCCATGGAACAATGACTTCCAAGTAGAACAGGTAAGGCCACAGGTGGGCAGAATCTAGAATTTATTTGTACAGACTGTGACTATAGTGGGTTAGTGTCCCCCCTCAAATTCATGTCTACATAGAACCTGAGAATATGACCTTATCTGGAAATATGGTCTGTGTAGGTGCAATTAGTTAAGGATCTCAAGGTGAAATCATCCTGGATTTAGGGTGGACCCTAAATGCAATAACTGGTGTTCTTATAAGAAGAGAACAGGACACAGAGACAAACAGAGGGGAAGCCCTCATGAGGATGGAGACAGAGGTTAGAAAGACGTGTCCAGAAGCCAAAGAATGCCTGGAGTTCCCCAAAGCTGGAAGAGACAAGAAAGAGTTTTTTCCTAGAGCCTTCAGAGAAAGAGCGGCCCTGCCGACTCCTCGATCTTGGACTTTGCTTTCAGAACTGTGAAGGAATTCACTTCTGTTGTTTTCAGTCACCAGTTTGTGGTCCTCTGTTATTGTGGCCATGGGAAATGAACACAAGGACCCCTCAGGCAGGGGTTGCCGCTTCTCAGCTCTTCCTGAGAAGCTCCTGAGCCAGAGAGCTCAGGCTGGTTTCTGAGGAGCTCATCCTAACCCACTACACAAACCCCATCCAGCCGCTCAGCAGATGCCTCCCCTGCCCCTCAACCCTCCACTCCCATTATAGCTGCTCCATCTATGGGAGGATGGCCTGAAGCCAGCGATGAGGGGATGGGACAACGGCCAGGCTGTGCACACATTCCCCCTGCCTGCTGCCTCTCCACCCCTAGAATATCCCCCTCTATGGCTGCAGGAATGCAAACTTCCTCTGCCTTCTTTTCTCAGTGTTCCACACACATGTTCTCTTGACTTTATTGACTAAACACATTTTAGAGCAAATACTGATGCTCAGACTGGCTCTAATGCAACAGAGAATGCGAAACCACATTCTGTCATTTTCATAAAGTTCTGATTGCAAACAACAATTAAAAAGCCCATTCCGTATTTGTTTCCTGATTTTTTGGGGTCATTTTTGGCCATCCCATCCATTTTTGTGCATGTGATGGAATTAGGATTTAGCCTCTTGCAGCCTCCCTTGACCTGTGGCTCTTGCCTGGCTGAACCTGGGCACTGCCAGCCTGTGGCCACCCTGTTTATGAGGTTCCTATGTCTCCCTGAGCTCTTGGCCTTTCTTGAGCAATTCGCTACCCTGACCCTAGAGTTCTTGCTTGGAAAAACCCATCCCTTGAGACTATGACAGTTAAATCAGTTTGTTTATTAAGTTGCTCAAATTGAAACCAAGTTGTTGGTTATGTCTTTTTGCAACTACAGTCTTGCTTGATATTGTACTTGAACAACTCTTTTGGCACAGTCCAGTCAAATGCCTGCTATTCTCCCATGTGTGGGTTCCTGTGTTCTGCCTCTTTCCGCATGGTCCACATCAGAAGGAAGCAGTGAACAAGAAGCAGAAAATCTCAAAGACTTCACTAGTCTGGAAGATTCTACCTAAAAATACTCACCAGTAAGCTGGAGCTGGCCACAAAGCAGCTGGTGGTCTCATTCTTCGAAAAGTAGTGGCTGTCTTGGGGCACTGATGGGCAGGCACCACCAGTTGGCACTGTCTGGCAGCTGGGAACACCCCGGCTAGGTGATAGGGAAGGACAATGAGGCCCACTGTGGCAGCCATGGGGCTTAGGAGGCTGCTGATCAGGCTGTTCCAGGCCTGCAGGGGATCTGGTCAGGGTCTGCTCCTGAGCAGTTCATGCTCCTGGGGCACCACGATCCCACCAGGCCAGCAGCAGGTTCTCACATCCAGGATCCTCGGCAGGATGGGACTTCCTCTTCTGTTATACGATTTGATTAATTTTGTTCACTCTCAACCCCTCTCAGAGCTCCCCAAGCCTACAGGCAAATGCTTGCTTGATGCACGACACATGAAAGCGTGAATGAAGCAGAGACTTATGGTGGGACAGACAGGAGATGTGGTTCTGGTAGCTTCTCCACCCAGGACTGAGCAGGGCTAGAGGAAGAGGAAGATATGTATAGAACTGATGTCCCATTGGACTGAACCGAACAGAGAAAATATTGCAATGCCCACAGTGCTTGATAAATCACAGCTTCCCTGACCTCCAAGCCCCCTGCTGGCTTTACCCAGTCCACTGGCACCCTGAGGAGGTTCCTCCAGCCATCTCCCCTAAGCCTAGCCAGAGGCCTCCTGCCTCATCCTGAGCTGAGGCTGTCATCAGGTGGGTTCCCAGACATGCTCTTTCCTATCACCTGGCTCTGTCTGCAGCACCCCTGCATGGTAGAGCTCGAGGCCAAGGGGCCTGCTCACCCAAGTACAACAGATGCCCCCACAGCAGCCTCTGTCATATGGGGACAGCAGCAGGGTTGGTGCTCTTTCCTGTTCTTTTCATCCACTCCACTTTGTGAAAAGGGTGCCCTGGCAGGAGGGCCAGGGAGCATGGGGTACGAGGGCTCAGTGTGGGGGCAACAGCACCTGGGGCCGAGGGTGGATGTTCAGATCCCGGCTGGGGCACGGCCCAGAGGAGGGCTGAGAATCACAGCTGCGCCATGGGGTGCTACCTCCCCTCGAAAGTAGGAAACCTGGATTCCAGTTTTGCGGTGTCCAGACTCACTTTTCAAAGACCAACACCAGGGGAGGAATAGGCTGATGTCTGTGGTGGCTTCTGGGACACCTGGGCTAGGTGTTCCAGCCCGTCACAAGCAGCCCATGGCACGTGTGCTCAGGTATGCCCAGCAGCCTCTGGCAAAGATCCGGGCCCTCTTCCCAGGGGCTCAATCTCAGAGCTGGGCAGTGATGGGGGAAGAGATGGAAAAAGGTCGTGGGCCATTTCTCCATACAGCCCCAGGGATTCACAACTCGTGTTGTCAGAATGTTCTGAGAAAGTCCCTTTTTTTCAAAGAAGAGGTCCCTGAGGATGGTGGCGGGTGAATTTCCTAGGAGCCTAAGTGGCCCTGGAACACCGTGGTCCCCACCTTGTGCCGCCGTCTGCCTCACCCAGCTGCTGCTTGCTCTGTAGGGCTGGTGCTCCTGCCCTTGTTTAGGGGATCCACACAGGCTGCTTTCCTGGAGGGCTCAGGGGAGGCTGAGGGTGGGGATGAAGAAGGGCATCTGATCCTTTGAGGGAGGTCTGAGAGAATGACAGTGTCCAAACCTGGCACTGCCACCTTGAGGCTTGGCTGCCAGTTTCTTGGCAGCTTCTGTGTCAGGACAGGGAGACCCCCAAATCCCAGGTCACCAGAATCTCCACCATACCCATCTCTGTCCCCCAACCCATGCCTCTTAGCCTCCTAAGAAAGGCCTGGAAATGATTCTGCAAAAGTTTGTCAATCAGATGTGCACCCATCACTGAACACCCCCTTTTCACTCTGCACCCTTCCTGGCCCCCACCAGCAAGGCTCATCTCTTTTGATTGATGCTTTTCTCACCCAGGCTGTGGTGCACAACTAACAGCCCATGCTCTCACTGTCCTCTTTCCCCTGTGCTCACCAAGGACCTGAACCCCGGTGGTCAGTGAACACCAAAGGGTGTCATGATGAGGCAGAATTTTCCCATAAAGCCACCCAGAGCCTGGAGAGGGTACAGGACTCTCTTCAAAATGAGGATCATGAAAGGTGTCCCCCAGATCAGTGGGCCCTGTGTACTTCCACAGGGCCACTGACCAAAGGACACTTGTCAGCAACCTGGGGTTCAGTTCCTTTGTCTGAACCTTGGAAAGATCCAACTGGATGAGGTTCCGCTAAAGTCTCTTTTTAGTAAGTGAGGCACTGTTGTTCCTATACTCACCAGATGCTTGTTTGATTTTCTTCCCAAAATGACAGACAGCAATCCAGAAATGATAAACTACTCAGAAAAGAGGAAAATGGTAAAGTCAGTTTCCACATGAACAAGCACCCCGATGTCCCTACCACTGAATTGTCACGTCCTTGTACACCTCCAGGAACTTCCCCACAGGGCTGACATTATTGGGCATGCTGGAAGCTGGGCCAAAGTCCAGGCCATATGTGGCTACAGGCCAATGTTGAGGGAAGTGGATATAGGAGGCCAAGCCACCCCTAGAATCTCATGAGAACCTGACTCAGCTGGAGAGGAAGTTCTTCTAGGGCAAAGACAAAGGGGCTTAAGGCCCAGGCTCCCCAACAGGGACCAGGGAACAGTGATTTTCAAGGGAGAGAGGGCAGGTAAATGTTACAAGACTCTATTTAGATGAAGATGTTGTGGTGGGGAGAGAAAAGCCACGCGGGCTTTGAACTGTCAGTTCCATGGGCTCTACCAGAGTCAGAGTTAAGGACAGAAGAAAAAGGGGGCCCAAATAAAGGGAAGATTTTGAGGCCAGGTTAACAGCTAGAAAAAAACTGTTGATTCTGGGTTATTACAGAAAAAGTGTTCTGTGGTAATGCAGTAATTTGAAATAGCTGCAATGTACGAAAACTACATGGCATGGTGGCAAGACTATAAAAAAAAGTTTTTCTGGTCCTACCAAGAAAATAGCCAGATAGAGAGGGAACAGGGAGGTTTGTGACTCAGTGGTCAGAGGATGCTCAAAAGCCACCGTGAATGCAAGAGGCTGCGGCTGGGGCGTGAAGACAGGTCTAGGCTGTGGGAAAGCCTCATTCACATTTCACAAGACTGAAAGCTTTCTCCTGAAGCTTCTTGCTGTGGCCTGAATGTCTGTTGCCCCCAGATTTCATGTGCTAAATACCTAACCTCCAATGCGATGGTATCTGGAGGTGGGGTCTTTGGGAGGTGAGTAGGTCGTAAGGGTGAAGCCCTCATCAATGGGATTACTTCCTTTATAAAAGGAACCCAGAGAGATTCCTCTGCCCTTCCACCACATGAGGACACAGCGAGAACGCTCTATCTATGAACAAGCAACAGCCTTCACCAGACACCAAATCTGTCGGTGTCACGATCTTGGACTTCCAGCCTCCAGAACTGTGAGTAATAGATGCTTGCTGTTTATAAGCCACCCAGCTTATGGTATTTTTGTTAAAGCAGCTCAAGCCGTCTAAGACACTCCTTGATTCCAGGAGCCTGGGGGATATTCAGGACTCCGAGGCTATGTCTGGAGCGTAACTCTGCAGAAGGCCTTCCACATGCCAAGAGATGACAAGCAGCAGATAGAGCTTCTAAGTGCTCCATGCCACCTCTTCAAGCTCAGTATATGCTCTACTGACCCCACTGGTCCTGCTGGCCCCATAGACAGGGCCACAAATGCACCAGCCTGGCCACCCCACTGTGTGCCCTGTCCACCCCATTTCTCACTTGCTGTCTGCCCACCTCACTCCTACTCCTTGTGTCACCTGAACTTAGGGAGAAGTAGGGTGACCCTATGTCCAGTGTGTCAGGGACAGTCCTGGGTATTCCTGTGATCATGGCATAAATAGTAATAGCACACTCTTTTATTCTTATAGTGTCCCTGTTGAGGCTACACATGCTATTGTCACCCCAGAGAGAAGCTGCAGGGCTCCCAGGGCCCTCGAGGATGGCACTATGAGGATTTTGGAAGAACTGATATTTGAGCCAGATGATCAATTCTGTTCCCATTGGCAAAACCCCTTCTCCTGCCAGGCCTTCTCTCACTCCTGGCTGATTGCCCTCAAAACAAGTTCCATTCCTGCATCTTTGCTCTCCACAGAGACATTGCTAGGTAGCATATCAGTTGTCTGTGCCCTGCTCCATCCCAGAGACCACCCTCCATGAACACCCATCCTACTCACATACTTGGCTCCTACGAATGGGTATCCAGACCTCACCAAGGTGAGAACCACTGGGCCAAAGTGACAGGGAAAGGAAGTACATGCCAAAAGGATCCCCATGCTCATAACTGCAAAGCCACAGAGGATCTGGATGGTCTGTTAGGGAAGAAGGGTCACCTGGTGTGACCTCAGAAAGATATGTTCAAGTCCTAACCCCTGATACCTGGGAATGTGATCTTCTTTGGAAATAGGGTATTTGTAGATGTCATTGGGATGTCAGTTAAGATGAGATCAGAGTGGAGCAGGGAGGGCCTTTAATCCAGTATGACTGGTGTAGGTACAAGACAAGAGAAACAGGCAGATGCTGGCAGAGAGAATGTCACACAAAAACGGAGGCAGAGGTGGGAGGGATGCAGCTGCAACCAAGGAGAGCCAAGGACTGCCAGGATACACCAGAGCTGGGAGAGAAAGCCTGGCCCTGCCCAGACCTGGATTTCAGACTATGGCCTCTGGCCTCCAGAATTGGGAGAGCATGAGTTTCTGTTTTGTTTTGTTTTTTTTTTGTTTTTTTTTTTTAAAGCCATCTGGTTTGTGGTAGTTTGTTACCATGGCCCCAGGAAACCAACTCACTGGGTGAGTCAATCAAGGGCCAGTCATTGTCAGTTTCCCCAGGGAAGCGGAGTGCTGGAACTCTCTGTGCAACCCAAGGAGATAGTGCGGAAGCAGGAAAAGCGTCTCAGGGGCATGGGAAACCAAGCACGCAGGACATGCTCCCAGCCCTTCCCAGTGCTGGCTGAGATCAGCGTGCAGTGAAATGCTGGGTGTTTCTGTCTTTAGCTCTGAGCTGTGGCAGTGGGATCCCAGGTGATGACTGGTCACAGCCCAGGAGGTTCCCATGCCCTTTGCTCCCTCTCCCTCCTGGGCACAAAGAAGCACTTAGGAGACAGCAGGTGGGGCAGGAACTGGCTCCCACTCTCTGCAGGATGAGTGGACACAGGTACCTCTGTTCGGGGCATGGCTCCTTGTGGGAGACGGACCCCAGAGCTGTGACGGGGTCCCAGGCAGCCTCTGAATCAGCCTCAGAATATTTCTACCACAAGAGTTCACATTCTTGCAACATTTACCAAGCAACCTCCTACCTGTTCTAACAGCGGAGTCAGCCCAGAAAGCACTTTTCAACCCAAGGTTAGGTGTGGCCTGGGGATTGAAGGAACAGCTGAGGCTCCCACAAGTAGGGAGGTGCTGGCCCTGGGCCCCAGGCCCTTCCCCCTGGTGCTTGTGTTGCCCAGCTCCTTCTTTCCGTTTCCCCCTCCTCCCTTTGGTCATGCAATGGAGTTGTATTTCTTTAAAAATCATGGATCGTATGAGAGATATTGGAAGGCAGACTAAGGGCACATATCTGTTTTCAAATGGTTAATTTCTCAAGAAGGGAGAATAGGAGATGAATTGTCTATAATTTTTAGAAAGAAAAAAAAATCCCTGGGAAGTAAAATCTAGAATAATTTATTCAACAGACTATTTTTTTTCTTTTGCCTCCAAATAAAGTGTATGCAAATATGTTATTATTCCCTTAAAATGAGTTAAGCAGCTAAAGTTTTATATCTCAGGTGAATGCTCCCCATGAGCACAAAACTGGGAAATCTCTTACTTTCTTGCGGAAAATGACTAGGTGGTCCCAGAGGCCTCCCCCGACGCCTCCAGAGCAGCCTGGAACTCCTTAAGCCAAAGGCTCTGTCTCCAAAGTGACAAAGTGTCCTCCTGGCACCCACTCAGCCTCTGCCCTTTGCTTGGCTGTTCTTACCCCAAGCACCTGGGCCTTTTTCTTCAGATTTTTTTCTCACGTTGTCCTGGTTGAGAGGCTCCAGATTCTCTGTGAGGTGCTCAAAGATGCAACTTTGTGGAAACACCACACAGTATCCACTGGGCAGGGCTCTGGACCCGGATAGGGATTGCTGCTGCTGCTGCCAGACAGGCGCGGAGCCAGGTCCGACTCTGGACCGAGACTTAACATTGCAAACTTCCCAAGCTTCAGATTTCCTTGGGTAGTCAACTAGAATCCCCCAGTCATCCCAAGGCGACCAGGGTTCTAGGAAGGAACCTGGGAACAGGGGTGCCTCAAAACCCTGGCGTAGTGAGAATTCTCATGGGTTCTTGGCATTGCACAACACCTGTTGACAGCACAGCCTGCCCTGAGGAGGGTCACAGCAGAGAGAGCAGACCAGCCTGCCTGCAGGTGCCCAGCTTCACCTTCATACTGGTCATGAATTTCCTGCAGTCCCTAACAGGCTTGGGACATGCTCCCTCCAGCCCAATTTCAGGATTGGATGCTTTTCAAATTCTGCTCTCCATCCCTTCTTATGCCAGGTCCATTCCTTTCAGGACATCCAGTTAGCACTGCCCTGCTTCTATAACCCAAATATTACGTGATTCTTTGTAGGAAAACCAATTGTTGGTGTCAGAGCTCTCTGAGCACTGACAATAGGCTAGGCTTCATGCTAAAGCAGTGCTGTTCCTTACACGCAGCAAGGCCCGTAATCAGAGTCCGAGGTACTAGTTCTAAATGAATAAGACATTCTTAGCCCAGAGACGCCTAGCCACAGCATGGCCTCTGTATGAATGTGTAGTAAATGTAAGCAATTACGAGTAATGCCAGGTTTAACTGTCACAGCCGATGTGACAAAGCCCGCTGGCTCTGGGTCTTTTCTCTTTTTACCTCCTCAGCTCCCTTCTTCCCCCTCTTGTAGTGTAAGGCAGCTGCATATGGCAGAAAGAGAATGTGGTCCAGCCCGTCCCCTGGTCTCTGCAGCTGAGCCCAGGCCCCACCTGCCCCAAGGGCTCTGTTCACTGCATCAGCCCCTTCTAGGACAGCACAGTGGGGAAACAGTCTGAAGTTGCCCAGAGAGAGGAGGCTCCTGCTCCTGTGGCCCTTTATCCTGCGTCTGAGCTTGCAGGATGTTCTGGGATCTCTGGGCTGGAGTGGGCAACACCTGCAGCTCAGAAACCATGTCCCAAATTAGGCACGTGAAGGAGTCTGGTGGAAAAAGTATTGGGCCACAGAAACAAGGCTGCTGGGTACCTTTCCCAATCTCACAGACAGCGTCCTTCAGAAGAGACCCCAACACTGACGTTGGCAGATATCTCTGAGGGGGCCTGTGTGACTTTCATCTCCTCCAGGACCTCTGGGCTTCATTGGCCCATGTCAACCTGTTCTGCCCTGATTGGCAGGGAACACCCCACATCTCTGGCTCAGGCAGTTATGATGACAAAATTTATAGGGCCCTTCCTGCAGCAGTTCTTTAATTTTTAGAACAAGGCCAGTGGCATTGTGATTGAGTTCAACTGCTGGGGAATCAATTGCATTGAATTTGTGTTGGGTGGTATTGTGTGCACTGAAGACACAGTGCACACATTAAGATCTCAGAACCTCAGAGCTGCAAGGGAGCCCCATTTAGCAGATGAGAAGTTTCTCCTCCTAGGGCTTCAGGAGCTGTAAACATCCACCCCTAGATGCCACCGTGGGGTCGGAGCCCCACAATCTGCCCATCTGTATGCTCCCCTAGAGGTTTGAGCAGTGGGGCACTGAAGAAGCAAGCCACACCCCCATCACGTGCCCCGCGAGGGGAACAAGGGAACTTTTCTCATTTCAAAAGTATAAAACTCACTGTAAAAATAAGAATATAGTACAATTCAGACTTCTCTCATACTCTGATGGCATAAGTCACTTTTAATTCTAGTATAAAATTAAAAGATAAAATAAAACAATTATAGCCATAATAATTTGTTGGTGGATACAGAGTATGAAAAGATGTAAATTGTGACATGAATAACATAAAAATGTGTAGAGAGAAGAAGTTAAAGTGTAGGGTTTTTGTATGCAGTTGAAGTTAAGTTATTAGCAGCTTCACATAGACTAAAAACTGTAAGATATTTTATGTAAGTCTTATGGCAACAACAAACAAAAACCTGTAGTAGGTACACACAAGACAAAAAGAGTAAAATCAAAGCATATTACCACACAAAAAAATCATTAAATTACAAAGGAATACAGCAAGAGGAAGAAAGAACAAAATATCTACAAAATAGTCAGAAACCCCTGAACAAATGGCAGTAATAGGTCCTCATCTGTCAATAATCACTTTAAATATAAATGAATTCAATTCTCCATCAAAAGACATAGAGTGGCTGAATGAATAGAAAAAGAAAACCAAGATCCAACTATGTGTTGCATCTGAGGGATTCAATATATCTTTAAGGACACACATAGGCTAAAAGTGAAGGGATGGAAAAAGATGTTCCATGCAGATGGTAGCTAGTAGAGAAGAGGGGTGGCTATACACACATCAGATAAAATAGACTTTCAGTTAAAAACTGCCACAAGATTCAAAGAAGATAATTTTGTAATGATCGAAGGAGTCAATTTATCAAGAAAATATAACAATTTTAAGTGTATGTGCACCCAAGTTCAGAGCACCTAAATATGTAACGAAAATATGAACACAATGAAGGGAGAAACAGACAGCAACACAACATTAGCAGGAAACTTTTATACCCCACTTTCAACAACGGATAGATTGTCCAGACACAAAATCAAAAAGGAAACTTTGGATTTGAACAACACGATAGACCAAGAGGTTCTAAGAGACATTTATGGGACATTACATTCAACAGCAGCAGAATGACCATTCTTCTCAAGCATACACAGAACATTCTCTAAGATAGATCATATATTAAGCCACAAAACAAATCTTAACAAATTTAAGAAGATTAAAATCATATCAAGTCTGTTTTCTGACCACCATGGTAATAAATTAAAAGTTAGTAACAGGAAGAAAATTGGAAAATTTACAAATTTTTGAAAATTAAATAATATCATGTTGAACAATCAGTATGTCAAAGAAGAAACCAAAAGGCAAATTTAAAAACTATCTTGAGACAAACACAAATGGAAATACAACATCCCTAAACTTATGGGATGCAGCAAAATAGTTCTAAGAGAGAAGTTTACAGTGATAAACACCCACATTAAAAATATTATAATATAATTTTGCATGATGTTACCACTGGAAAACTGGGTATGGGATCTGTTTGCATTATTTCTTGCATCTACATGTGAATCTACAATTATCTAAAAATTAAAAGTTGAATTTAAAAAGCCACAAGAATGATAATGTACAGAAGAGCAAGAGGAACAGAGAGATGTAAAACATTTCATTTAATCAAATATTAAAAAAAAAAGAAGTTGCTGACCCAGTAATTTCACTCCTTTTCGTTGGATATATGCTCCAAAGGAATGCCTGCATTCATTCTAAGACATGCTACAAAACATTAAAATACAATGGTCAAAATATGAAAAGACAAGGGATTTCATACAATATAATCCACCCAAAACAAAATCCAAATTATTTTTTAGAAGTTATTAAAATAGAAACCACATGTTTTTGAATATGTGATTAAAGCATACTTAATACAAAGAGAAAGCTTTGCTAACTGGAAATTAACTATTTGTTTTTGTCTTAAACAACTTTTGGTACTGGAGGATTTTAAAATGAAAATTATTTAGAAAATAGAAATGTTGAGATAATTGCCAGTGGTTATATGTTAATATCAGGAGGGACTTGCAGACACTGGAACAGGACCTCAGTGGGGACATGCAGAGCCATGGGGGCTGGCAGTGCTGGCTGCTGCATGTCACAGGAATAAACACAGAAAGCACATTATTGTTAAAGAAGAGAGCATGAGCAGACACTGAAAATGCTTTAATAAAGATACCAGAGAACAAGATAGTGTTAGTCCATTATGTCCATTACCACACTGCTATAAAGAACTACCTGAAACTGGCTAATTTATGAAGAAAAGAGGTTTAACTGACTTATAGTTCCACAGGTTTAACAGGAAGAATAACTGGGAGGCCTCAGGAAACTTACATTTATGGCAGAACACCAAGGGGAAGCAAGCACCTTCTTCACATGGTGGCAGGAGAAAGAGAGAGAGTGAAGGGGGAAGGTCACACAATTTTCAACCATCAGATCTCATGAGAACTCACTCACTGTCATGAGAACAGCAAGGAGGAAATCTGCCTCCATGATCCAGTTACCTCCCACCAGGCTTCTCCAATTCGATATGAGATTTGGGCGGGGACACAAATCCAAACCATATCATGTGTCTATAAGAAACACAGAGATTTACACTATTGGTATGTAAATGGTGCTACTGAGACCAGATTGGGTACAATGACAAACACTTCCTGTGGATGGTGACGTCTTTTCCAGACTAGGAAGACTGGAAAAGAGAAATCTCCATGTGGACGGCCAGGTGTCAGAAAATGCTTCAATCAATGGATTTAGTTAAACAGCATAAAACAGCTTGCCATGTAGTTATTTTGAAATAAATTACTCAGTCAGGCAGCAAATTCAGGGAAAGTCAGCCAAATAAATATACAAATGTAGACAGAGAAGTCTTCCCAAGAAAAGAAGAGAAAGCAAAGAGAAATGGCATCACCAATGAAAGCACACACAGAGATGTAACTTCAGAAATGGTGTCCAGGGAAAATGTCCTTTCCCATCTTCACATCATCCTCTGGACATTGACCAGCAAGCAGATATTTTCTGACGCAGAAGAAGAAAGGAAGCTCTTCTGATCTGTACAGTGGGCAGATCACATCTCCGTGGGGTGTTCTACAAATGTTTTATTGATCTTTGGTGATGTATTTTTTTTGTCATCCAGTAATTTTTTTCATGCCCCTTGTCAAGATAATTCTCCATCCTTATCTGGTGTGCTTCCCTCCTGGCAGGGTCTAATCTTTGTTGCCTGCTCTGGAGGTAGCAGGAGCCTCAACGGTTCAGAGAAGTCCTATCTCCTTCCTGTAGGCAGCAGAAATTCATTTCTCATGAACATCAAAGTCTTCTTAGTGAGATGGGTGCCTGGTGGGTGAAGTTAAACATGTCCAGGATGGGCCATGGCTACGCCACAGGACCTGAAGGGTTTTATCACAATAGGTGAGGACTGCCCTCAGAGTGTGGCATCAGAGTCAAACTCTGGTATTGTAGCTGCAAACCAGCACTGATCCTTGGGGGCAATCCCTAGGCATCCTGGAAACTCTGGCTACTGATTGAGTTCATGAATGAGATGAATACCTAGAATTTAAGCATACACCTGAATGTGAACCTTGCTTATGCTGAATTTCCTTTTTCAAATTTAAATGTTGAGCTGACACTGATAAAATTAGGCTTCTCCAAACAGCAAGCCAAACTTTGCTTATTTGCTGACAAGCCAGCAGGCCCTTCTATTTCAGAAGAAGTGATGTAGAACCAAGTTCTTAGCAAGCAATGAACTCAGGTGTCTGCCAGGGAATGGCATGCTCATTCACAGATGCATCAGTCCTCATCCCTGTAGGTTGGAAACCCCAGCAATGAAGAATCAATAGAAAGGTCTTCATCATGACTCATCACTCCAAGCTGTCTGTTCTAGAGCAGGGAAATTTCCAGCATGGATCTTTAGCTCCATTTGGGAAGATGGACCAAACCCTGCCCATCTTGGAGAAGAGGTGGCCTGACACTCAAGGTCCCACACACAAGGCTCTTTCCCTCTGTGTGACCATCAGAATCTTCAAGGGATACCTGACCATTTCATTTCTTTCTTTTCTTCCTTCTCTTGACAAGTTAATTGCAGAAGCTGTTGGAATCGCTTCAATAGAACAGATGGCCTGCGCTGGAGAACGTGTGGTGTTACATTAAGGGAGGGGTCTTGTGCTTAAGGGAAAAAAATGAGACCTGAACTAAAACTTCCACAGAGGACAAAGGACGAATTCCTGGAATCAAGTAAAGCAGTGCAGCAGCAGTGACAAAACCTCCAGAGTTCATCAGAAACAGAGAAACTGATTTCAGGGGTCACAAAAGAGTCTGGTGTCTGCATACCAGAGAGAACAAATGTAGGTCTTTTTTTTTTCATTCAAAAGATACAGATTACACTTTAAGAGACAGATAATTCCACTAAGTAAAACTCCTCTGAGAAGCACACTTCGTATGTCCAGGAGAAAGGCCATGAAAGGGCACTGTGGAAACTGGGAGGCAGATACAGGTGAGGAGCTTGCAGAGCACCTTGAAGTCCAGGAGCCTCTTGTACTTCAGAGCTGATGGGTGAGAAAAGCCGGTCAGTGTGGGAGGAACAGAGTGGGGCATAACACCCTTCAGCATGCATCAACATGACTGTGGGATTGTGGGGAAAAGGCTAGGAGGGGTGACAAGAGACAACAGAAAATGTTATTCTACACTTAAGCAAGACATTTTCTCTCAGGGTAACAATACGTCATTGGTGTTGATTTTCAGTGCCTGTCCTAACTAGGATCAGGTGGCAAAACAGGACACAAGATATTGAGAGTCCAGGGGACTCCATGCCCAGAGACTGCATATTCACATGGTAAGTGACCAAGAAACTGTTACATGAAGATGGTGGGTACAAACCATCTTTGAACAGAGAAAATGAAATAACTGTTTACAGAACATCAGCCCTCGGGACAACTCAGTTGGAAAATCAATAATCTAGAAATGTGCATTCTTAAAGTGAATGTGGCAGGTGAGATCAGAGCAAGGGAAAAGTACTGAGAAGGTAAAATGACAGTGAGCTCATGGCAACCCCGAATCTGAGTCCTAAGACATCAGTCAGTGCACAGGGTTGACCCGATGTGTGTCAGAAAGACAGGCAGAATCTCTCAGACCTGCTGTGGTCCCTGAGAGTTGAGAATGCAGGTGAAATGTGGACACAGAAGTCCCAATACATACCCATGCCTGTAATAGGAGGACACTCTTTTCAAACTGTGAGGGCTAGGGCCAAGCTTTTCTTACTGAGGTGAAGAAAGGGCCACATTACTGGCTTCTCTCTGCACAAATTGTATTGGAACACCCCTCAAGGGGTGCTTTCTTTGGGAGTGAAGCATGGTGAAAGCTTTTGCCTGAGGGGTTCTCTGAATTTGATCTTGATCTTGTGTTTATCAAGAGCAATGCCATGAAGTTCAGCTCACTAGAAACTGACTCAACATATCCAACTTGGAACTGGGTCTACTCCTTGCAAGGCCCTATTCCCTGTCCCTAGGATGAGGGAGTCAGGGGCTGCCAGGGCTATGCGGAGCTCTGACCAGAGTAAGAGAAAGGAGCCCTATGGAGACAGGAAGGACCTGCCTGGGCACATAAAGCCACAGTGGAGCAGCTGACCATGTGATAAACCTCGGGATGCTCAGCTATCTGTCCCCACAGATAGAAGCCACTCATTGGCCAGAAGAAAAACAAGGAGCACATGGGAATCTTGATCAAAGTTGCTCAAGGTCCAGTAACCTCTGGAAGCCCAAGAGAGAGCTCATATTCAGAGGACAGGAAGACAATTCCAGACCATTGGTCCACAGAGGTGTCACCTGTCCTTCTGTGTCTGTGTCAGCCTCACTGCCCCCTGACTTACCCCTGCCCCCAGGAAAAATGTCACAGGTAAGATGAGAACTGTGTTCTCTCTTCATCTGACTCTCTTTCTCATCTCTCTAATTCGGAGGAGTTTTTGCAAGGATTTTAGATGTGTTTTCCCCAAGGGAAAGAACATTATCAGGACAGTGCAACCCTTCATTTGAGGACTGGGGACTGGAATCCATCCTTGCTTATTCTTTTTTTGTGTGCGAATTTTGCTTCATTTTGGTAAGAATTCTTGACACGAGATCTATTATCCTAATAATTTTAAGTGCACAGTAGTGATCTTTAAAATGCAAATCCTTGGCTGGGCATGGCAACTCATCCCTGTAATCCCAGCAATTTGTGGGGTCGGGGTGGAGGGGATCTCTTGAGCTCAGGAATTTGAGACCAGCACAGGGCAACAAAGGGAGACTCCCATCTCTACAAAAAGAAAAAAATTAGAAAATTAAAAAAGAAACCTAGCCAGATGTGGCAGCACACGCCTGTGGTCCCAGCCACTCAGGAGGCTGAGGTGGAGGCATCGATTGGGCTGGAGAGGTGGAAGCTGCAGTCAGCAGTGATTGCATCACTGCACTCCAGCCTGGGGGTGAGAGAGTGAGACCTTGTCTCTAAAGAAATAAATAAATCCAGATAATATTATTATCTGAGCTTAAAACTTTCCAACACCTGGACATTGCACTTAAAATTCAAACTTCTTATCTTGGCCTATATGATTCCACACCTGCCTACCTCTCTAAAAGCTTATTTCTCTCACTCTCTCTTTCCCTCCCTAAACTTCAGCCACACTGGCCTTCTTTCTTTTCTTCAACCATACGACTGTTCTTCCTATGCGCCTTTGTACTTCCTGTTCCCACTACCTGCAGCACTATTCCTCTAGATATTCCCAGGATTGGCTTCCTGAAAAAGCCAGAAAATATTGTCAGCTCAGAAAGGACCAACCTAAGTGGCTCACTGTCTTTCCTGTTTTCCTTAAGATAGTCCATCCCACTGCCACTTTTTTTTTTCCTTCAGAGTAGTAAGCACCGTCTGAAATGATCCAATTTACTGCATTTGCTTATTGACATTCATCTGTCCCAACAGGACAGTATTTATTCATTCATCTCTCACTATATGCTCATCACTGTTCCATGCACTTACATGCTATCCACCCATTTAATTTTCAAACCCACAAGTAGGTATTATCAGTATTCTAATTTTGCAGAGGAAATACCAGAGGCTCAAAAAGATGAAGCAGCTTCAGTTGCAAAAACATTCCAGTACACTGTTGTTAACTATAGGCAACTACTACTTTTGTGCAGTAGAGCTCTAGTGCTTATCTATTTTGTTAAACTGAAACTTTATGCCCACTGACTACTAGCTCCCTACTTCCTGTCCTACAGCCCAGGGAACAACCATCCCACTCTTTGTTTCTATGAATTTGACTATTTTAGATACCCTATTTAAGTGCATGCAGGATTTATTCTTCTATGACTGGCTAATCTCACTTACCATAATGATCTGCAGGTTCAACTATGTTGTCATATATGACAGAATTTCTTCCATTTTTTTTTTGAGATGGAGTCTCCCTCCCCTGCCCAGGCTGGAGTGCAGTGGTGTAATCTCGGCTCACTACAACCTCCGCTTCCCAGGTTCATGCAATTCTCTGCTTCAGCCTCCCAAGTAGCTGGGATTACAGGCACCTGCCACCATGCCCAGCTAATTTTTGTATTTTTAGTAGAGACGGGGTTTCACCATGTTGGTCAAGTTGCTCTTGAACTCCTGACCTCGTGATCCATTCACCTTGGCCTCCCAAAGTGCTGGGATTATAGGCGTGAGCCACCACACCTGGCCAAATTTCTTCCTTTTTAAAGGCTGAATACTATTCTATCTTATGTTTATATCACATTTTCTTTATCCATTCATTTTTTGATGGATTTTTAGGTTGTTTCCACATTTTGGCTATTGTGAATAGTATTGCAGCAAACATAAGAGTGCTAATATTTCTTTGAAAACCTGATTTCAATTCTTTTGGACAAATACTCAGAAGTGGGATTTCTGGACCATACGGTGCAGTTCTACTGTTAATTTTTTGAGGAATTTCCATACTGCTTTTCACAGCAGCTGCGCCATTTTGCATTTTCACCAACAGTGTGTGAGGGATCCCTTTCTCCACATCCTCATTAGCACTTGTTATCTTTTGTTTTTCCAGAATGGCCATCCTAACAGGCGTAAGGTGCTATCTAGTTGTGGTTTTGATTTGCATTTCTTTGATGAGTCATCTTGGCCTGTCCTTGACTGGAGACACATTTTGGAAGCTGTTGGCACTCTCTGTTAATGGACATTTGGGTTATTCCCTCCCGTTCTCCCCTGAACTGGCTCTTCCCAGGTTAGTAGGAGGAAGAGTGTGTACTTGGTGCTGCAGGACTAAGATTAAGCCCTAGTGAAATCTGTAACATCTTTTTGGGCATTCCCATGGATCAGCTATAGCAACTCATTTAAGGATTTTTTTCTTGTTACAGATACATCCTGCTTTAGTGAGCTCAGCTTCTCTGGCAACTTCATCTGTGAAGCTGTCTTAAAGTATGAGAAGTCATTATCAGTGTTCAGGATCTCAGGAAAGGATGGTCTGATCTCTTTGGGCCCAGAGCGTTTCACCTCTCAAGCATCCTAAGTTCTTCAGTGTTCTGGACTCCATAGTGGGGCATCAAGGGTCATCAGGGCTGATTCTCAGAGGCCTAGCCAGCTCAGCCGAAATGTCCAAGGCTCAGGCAGTGGGCCCTGGACAGGGGATGTTGGCATCCTCCAATGAAATGATTCCATCCATCTTCCTGAGACAGGAAGGTGGACAGGAATCTCTCTAAGGAAGACACATGAGATCTCCTCTAGTCTGTGGTCAGCCTTGAGGTACCACACCTGCCCAAGGTGAGCAGGTTTTTGGCTAAGGGTGAATGGTTCATATCAGTTCTCCCCTACCCTGGATGCATTGTCTGAGGTGTTTTGCATGCTAGGCTCTTGGCCTCTGTCTCAGAGTCTTGAAAAGAGACAGAGCAGAGCTCTCCTGCTCACAGTCTGTATCTGCACTCATCCAGGATCTTCCACTTAAACGAGCTCTCAACATCATGGACAAACTTCCAGCATGTGAGTAGATTCACATCTGAGGCTACATCTTTGGTGTTTGCAAAATAGTGATAAGGATTCCATGGTTGAAAGAGGAAGCTGTGGTCAGGCCCCACCACTCCAGGGACAGTAGCTCAGTGCTGCTCTGAAGGGGCCTGGCTGCCCCTTTCTGTCCACTGATGGCTGAGATAAGAATATTCTCCAATCTTGAAAATGGCCTATAAGTCTTTAACTCTCTAGAGTTGCAGGGACCTTCTTGGGGTTTATTAACGCAATAATAGAAAAATAGTTATTGCACTCAAGTTGCTTAAGAGGCCCTCTCTGGACAGGAGCATCAAAGATTAACAAAGCAGATGAAGCCACTTGCCCCAGGGTGGTGAACTTGCTGAGCCTGCCTGTGGCTCTTTCCTTCTGGCTGTCACCTGGTTGCTCCAGTAGGTCATTCAGATCTCCATGTCCTACTAAGAAACTCCCCTCATTTATCCCACTAGGAAACATCCATTACCCTTATCATTTTCTATCCACTCAGCCCAATTTATTTTTCTCCTTGCAGTTATCACAATGTAAACCCAAAGAAGGTACAGACAGTTCTACCTTAGCACTGTCTTATCCTCATGCCAAAGATAAGTTTGTGGCAAGTGACATTTGCCTACTGAAGAGGCAATTTCCTGAGGAGACTGTTGAGTAGAGATGATGAAACGGTCTTTGGAGGAGCTTCAAAAAGGGAGGTCTAGAAGAAGAGCCCAGTGTGTTTCACAGATCCCAGAGCGGGAGGCAGAGGTCAGAGAAGCCTTGCGAAGTCTGCTCCACAATTCCAGATTCTATAAAAATAACAATTATTATTAGTTTTTTGAATATTAATAATAATTATTCATTAGAAACAAGATATAATAGTACTACTTGTTAATCATAATATAATCATAAATAATTAATAATCACATACAACTATTAATCACATTATATTATTAATATATTGTTATTAATATGCCACTAATAGCATATTCATATCATATAAATAATATTAATATAGTATACCAAATATATTAATATATACTGTTAATATGCTAATATATTCACATGTAATCAATAATACATTAATATCTTAATATTGAAAGCATATCAACATTAAAATGTACTGATAAACTATTTTACTAATATTGTATAAATATTATTAATGATACATTATTAATAAACTGAATAATGTTAATATCAATTAATATTAATGACCAAAGACCCACCAACATGGGTCGTGTTGGCATCAAGACTGTGACGAAGGTGGCCTAGGTCATCGTAGAAAAGTACTACATGTGCCTGGGCAATGACTTCCACACAAACAAGTGTGTGTGAGGAGATCCCCATTATCCTCAGCAAGAAGCTCCACAACAGGAGAGCAGGCTGCGTCACGCATCTGACGAACCAGATTCAGAGAGGTCCAGTGAGAGGTATCTCCATCAAGCTACAGGAGGAGGAGAAAGAAAGGAGGGACAATTATGTCCCCAAGGTCTCAGCCCTGGATCAGGAGATCATCGAAGTAGATCCTGACACTAAGGAAATGCTGAAGCTTTTGGACTTTGGCAGCCTGTCCAACCTGCAGGTCACTCGGCCTACAGTTGGGATGAATTTCAAAATGCCTCGTGGAGCTGTTTGACTCTTTCTCCAATGCTGTAATATACAGCAGTCACTGGATTTTATTTTCAATAAACCTGGGACAACAGCAATAAATAAATACATAAATATTAATAAACTAATGTCAATATTAATTATCAATATCCTTGATAGCATAATTGAGAATATGTTATATTAATATAATTAATATATTAACATAAATATATAATGTGAATATATTAACATCAATATTAATAACATGTTAATATAGCAATGTTATATTAATATAATTTATTAATATATAAATATTTACATAGTATTAATATGCTAGTCTCTCTATATTAATATATTTACATAGCATTAAAATACTATTCTCTATATTAATATTTATATTAATATTCTTAGGCCTCTTTTGTATTTGTTGCACCCTAAGTCTGTTCATTTCCTTCTCCTCAGCTGACATTTGGAGCATAGCAGTCGATGATGCCCACACAGACACTGCCTGAGACTCACGCCCCTGGAGAAACGCAGATTTCCTTATTTTCCAGGTCAAGTCCTGCCAGCCATAGAAAGGACTTCTTTGGTGCCAACTGCTGTGAAATGCCTGCCTTGGAAATCTCAGTGCTCCCTTGTACCTGTCTGAGCCCAGGGAAATGCCATACTGTGGCACTGCTGCATCCTGTATGGCTACCCAAGGATGCCCAGGACTGGGTTTGAAAGAGATGAGACATGGCCAGGTGCCGTGGCTCACGCTTGTAATCCCAGCACTTTGGGAGGTCAAGGCAGGTGGATCACAAGGTCAGGAGTTTGAGACCAGCCTGGCCAATATGGTGAAACCCCATCTCTACTAAAAATACAAAAAAATTAGCCGGGCATGGTGGTGGGTGCCTGTAGTTCCAGCTAGTCAGGAGGCCGAGGCAGGAGAATCGCTTGAACCTGGAAGGTGGAGGTTCCAGTGAGCTGAGATCGCGCCACTGCACTCCAGCCTGGGTGACAGAGTGAGACTCCAACTCAAAAAAAAAAAAAAAAAAAGAGATGAGACACTAGTGTCTCATGAGTAGAACCTGGACCAGACACAAATCTCCATTCCCAATGTTTAGTGCCTCATTAGTGCCCAACAACAAGATATTGGGTCTATGTGGGTAGGCCTGGGGCATCCTGTACAACAGGAGATGTGTTAGGGGAGGGAGAACAGATCACAAATTCATGGAGAGCTATTTGCAGAGCAGATACTCCCATCCACTCTGATATGTAGTTAATGTTCAGCTGTTCCTAAAAAGCACACCCAACAATGGGTGTTCTATTCCAGCCTAGGAAAATGTAGAGGCAAGGGGTCTGAGGCCAGAGGACACCACTAGATGGACCACTGCTCCTGACTGTGATGTTGTGGCCCACTCAGGTCCCAGCACCCCATGGTCTGGGGGAAAATTTGCTGGTTCAGCCAGAGGGCTGGATGGACAGTGTTTGCTGAGTCACAGATATCTCTCTCATGTAGCCTTTGTCTCCACAGTGGTGACCAGGAGGCACAGAACCCAAACCTGGTATCTCAGCTCTGTGGCGTCTTTCTTCAAAATGAGACGAATGAAACCATACATATGCAGATGAGCATGGCAGTGGGACAGCAGGCCCTGCCCTTGAATATCATTGCCCCCAAGGCTGTGCTGGTCTCCCTCTGTGGGGTCTTATTGAATGGCACTGTCTTCTGGCTGCTTTGCTGTGGGGCCACGAATCCCTACATGGTATACATCCTCCACCTGGTCGCTGCTGACGTGATCTATCTTTGCTGCTCGGCAGTGGGGTTCTTACAGGTGACTCTGCTAACTTATCATGGAGTCGTGTTTTTTATCCCTGATTTCCTGGCCATATTGTCTCCCTTCTCCTTTGAGGTGTGTCTCTGTCTCCTGGTGGCCATCAGCACAGAGCGGTGTGTGTGTGTCCTCTTCCCCATCTGGTACAGATGCCACCGCCCAAAATACACATCTAATGTTGTCTGCACCCTCATCTGGGGCCTGCCTTTTTGCATCAACATAGTAAAATCACTTTTCCTAACTTACTGGAAACATGTAAAGGCATGTGTCATATTTCTAAAGCTTTCTGGGCTCTTCCATGCTATCCTTTCACTTGTGATGTGTGTGTCGAGTCTGACTCTACTCATTAGATTCCTGTGCTGCTCCCAGCAGCAAAAGGCCACCAGGGTCTATGCGGTGGTGCAGATCTCGGCCCCCATGTTCCTACTCTGGGCCCTACCCCTGAGCGTGGCACCCCTCATAACAGATTTCAAAATGTTTGTCACCACCTCCTATTTAATTTCCTTGTTCCTCATTATAAACAGCAGCGCCAACCCTATCATTTATTTCTTTGTGGGGAGCCTCAGAAAGAAAAGGCTGAAGGAATCTCTCAGAGTGATTCTCCAACGGGCGTTAGCAGATAAGCCAGAGGTGGGGAGGAACAAAAAGGCAGCTGGCATCGACCCAATGGAGCAACCACACTCTACTCAGCATGTGGAGAACCTTCTTCCCAGGGAGCACAGGGTCGATGTGGAAACATAATTTCCCACATCTGAGCTGGGGAATTGTACACATAGTAACCCAGCCTGTTCTGCATCATAAGGCTGCTGCATCAAATCAATGCTTTATTCTAATCAAGTTCAGCTTTCATGGACTTTCAAAACAACCCCTTGCTGTTTGTGGTTGGAAGAGACATTAACTTCCTTCCTAGGCAGTAAGCCCAGTTTGAATGTGCTCCAGTTCCAACGATGAGGGGAATGGGACCCAGTGAGACTTTCCTGGTACCTGTGGAATCCCAAATAAAGACCATACAAAAGGCCATGCATTATTCTCAATCATTATCCTGGAACATCCTCCAAATCCAGCCACAGATTTTCCTCCCTTTGTCTATCTCCTCCTTAGATAGAGCTTGAGCTTGTCGGAATTACCAAGAGGCATCATCACATAAGAGTAAGAGTCAGGGTTTTGGACCCAGATTGCCTTTGTCCAAACTTTGGCTCTCCCATTCAAAGCATGTTATTGTGGGCAAATAACTCTCTGTAACTCTGTTTCATCTTATGCAAGAGGAGGATAAAGTTGGTATTTAATATGCATGGTTGGTGTGAGGATTAATTAACCTTATGAATATACAGGACTCCTTGGATTTTATTTACAACATGTGTAACAATTATTTAGTAAGGATGATGAATATGTTGCAGTGTGTTGAATAAATGTACAAAAACATTACGTTGGATAATATAATCCCTCCTCACTAGGTTAGAATTTACACCCAAACCTTTTACTTTGAAGAAAGCAAATTTACCTCATCCTCTCTCCAACTTAATACCATTTAATTCTTCATCTTGCTTACATTGCTTACAAAACTCTCATATTGGGTTTCTTTTGTTAAATGGAACACATCCTTTTTGCAAATTTTCTTTCCTCTGTGAGGAATTATGTCACTCACAATTTTCCTTGTTTTTGCCTTTTCCATGTTTTATCTCTAGTTAAAAAGGTCAACTTTAAGAGCATTTCTATGATCACATTCTCTGGCTGGTCTTATTGATCTTTTATTTCTTACAACATTATTGTAATTTGTAATGGTTCCACCATTTTGGTCTTATTTTAAGCTTCCCCTAGAAGACGAGAAGTTTTGTGAGGTTGAAGTCATTACTTCATGATTCAGTTTAATGTCCCAGTGCTTTGTACATAATAAGTTGTTTTAATAATACCTCTTTGTAATTTGAATAAAAATTGCATTCCCTTTAAGTACATACCCTTTATTTAAGCCTTATTAATTTTATATCTGTGATTTTAGACAATCCTTCAAGGACTAGAATTGCCATTCTATAATATTGCTTTATATATATATATGCTTTAAATTCTAGTTATTGTATATATTATTTTATTGTGGTCAAATAATATAACCAACAAAATGTTATTATTAATATTATTATTTGTATTTCTTTCAGATTTACTCTGTGGCTGAAGACATGGTCAGTTTTGTCCACCATGGTGTTTAAAATAATGTATAGTCTCCTTTTAAGGTGTAATTTGTCAAATAACTTTTTTTAATGATTTCTATATGTGCTTATTCAATTATGTGTACATGTTACTCAAAACAAAGAAGATTCATTCAAGTCTGATATTAAAATATATGGTTACCTCTTAATTCCCATACTGCATCATTGTGTAGCTCATGTCTCATGATGCTGACATTTCAGGAGCATGTTAAGGAGGTGTCAGAGTGAAGGAAGGGGCATGAGACTTCTCGTGGACAGGTCTTTGTCTCTCCACTTCTGTTAGCTCTCCATCTATAAGCAGATTAGTCCTTTTTCAGTTGTCTGAGCTGCAGATACAATTTCCAACATTTTCATTGGTCACTTACTTCGGTTATGATTTTAAAAACATGTTATTGTCAAGCACACCGTTTTTATAAATTTGAATTTGTCAGTCTTTTATGGCTTATGTATTGAGTTATGATTAAAGAAGTCTTACCTACATGAGATAATATAAAATGAATCTATGCTGTCTTATACTATTAAATTATTTCATTTGTAAACATGTAAATATTTGATCAATTTGATTTTTTTTTACTGGAGGATAGTGTGAAGTATAAGCCCACTTTAATCTTTTTTGTTAAACGGTTAAATTATTCAACTTTGTTAGTCATCAGGAGCACTGCATAATGAGATATGATTTTCTACCCCTGTTATTAATAAGCTTTAATGGCTGGACACACAGAAGAATATGGAGGATTTAATGTCTTCTGCAACCAAAGTGGTGAGTTTAAGTTATTGCTTTTGTTGGGGAAAAATTGAGTACTGTACCTTAAAATTATAAACACACATACACTTATAATCAACGTTTAAAGTTTTATTGCTCCATTTTACAGAGACAAAATAGTGTTACCAAGTGATATCCGTGACAGGGTGTTTATTGCAACAATACTGGTTTTACCTGCTCCCAAGGCAGAAAATCCCACTGTCCCTACTGCAGAGATGCATCTGGGAGGGATTGGGTGACTGGGCACTTTCACACCTGTAGCTGTTATGTACTTCTCCAAGGCAAAGCCATGAAGTAGGACTTAGCAGGAACTGGTGCCCATAGCTAGGAACAGGAATCTTCTCACACGCACACACACACACACAAATTACATTGATAAATATTTTCATGAGATTGTTTCCAGGGAATTTGTAAGACAAAAGTTTTTAATGAAATTACTACTCCCCACCTCTTAAAATAAAAGGAAAAAATAAAACAAATAAAATCAAACTAATAAGTGAAAATAACATGGCCAATAACATCATATGTTCAGACCCAAAGGTCCAAACCTGAACCCTGACCTTTTGCCAAAAGAAATGGGATTGTGAAATATGAACAAACATTAGAAAGGTGTTTCACCTCAAACACCCAGGTGTGGCCACGGAATAAACCAAATAAGGAAAATCTCCCAGAGGGAAGTTCCAGTGTCTATGGACAATTCACTAAATAGATTAGGTGAATCCTTCCAATGAGAAGAACAGAGAACTGTGAGCTTGAGAGTGATGGAACTTACTTTCCTGACAACAAGTGTGATTCTGTCTGTTCTTTTACCCAAGAATGTCTAGCTGGAAAGGACACTCACTGAATGAATGGAATTAAATGCCTGTCACGTGGGTGCCAGAATGGAGCTAGAGGCAGTAACAAGATGATACTAGGTACATACAGTTCTTGACAAAATAATGAATGCATTTCAAATAGATGCAAATATTTTAATTTTAACTTGGACAAGGGAGGGAGGTGTATATAATTTGGGGGTAGGTGAAAAAGGCCTAAGTGTTGGTTATGGTGAGGGCATTCCAATGAGATATCGCAGGACATTCTATGTGGTATGACTCTAAGAAGAGTTTTCACAGATATAAAAAGAGATGGAAGGAAAGGAAGTTCTTTTTTCTCGCATTTTTTATATCATATTCTGAGTATGAAGTCATATCCTAAGCATTCGGAAAACATGCCCAGTGAGGAATGAGGACAATATTCTGAAGATGCCAGAAGTAAAAGTGGATAATTCTAATTTTTTCAAGACATTGTGCCACTGACTTGAACATCTTGCAGCAGCCCTATCTACAGGTGTCTTGTGCTTCAATATTATACATCACTGACTGCTAAAATTAGTTTAATTGAGCTTCTCTATTTGGCAGCCAAAAACATTTCTAACTGGAAATATTTTCTTATCCTTGAATGAAAAGGCAAAGACAGCCTTCTATGGGAATGCTACACAGCAAACTGGAATCCTAGTACTAGATAAGCTTGCCTCATACATTGATGCCCATTGTTGTTAAACCAGGGCCTAGATTTATGTTTATAAAATTATCTGAGTGTGGCTTTTACTGTGATAGAAGCAAATAGTGCTGGTTCTCAAAGGTAGAAAAGCATAAGAGATACACTATATGGGGGAGGCCAATCTTATTAGGGGTGTCCTGTGGACAAGAGTCCCTGGATAGAATCCCAATTGTGTTTCAGATACATGACTATAGGCAGGACTTGAGCCTGATAATCACCAGTATTAGGTATCATGAGAGAGTGGGAACAGAGGATGCTCTTGAAACCAAGAATTTGAGACAGTGAGTCGAGATCATTTCACTCCATGCCAGTCTGGGCAACAAAGTGAGATTCTGTTTCTTAAAAAAAAACATACAAGGGATGTGAAGGACCTCTTCAAGGAGAACAACAAACTGCTTCTCAAGGAAACAAAAGAGGACACAAACAAATGGGAAAACATTCCATGCTTGTGGATAGGAAGAATCAATATCGTGAAAAAAGCCATACTGCCCAAAGTAATTGATAGATTTAATGCTATCCCCATCAAGCTACCATTGACTCTCTTCACAGAATTAGCAAAAACTACTTTAAATTTCATATGGAGCCAAGAAAGAGCCTGTGTAGCCAAGACAATTCTAAGCAAAAGGAACAAAGCTGGAGGCATCACGATACCTGACTTCAAAATATACTACAAGGCTACAGTAACCAAAACAGCATGGTACTGGTACCAAAACAGATATATAGACCAATGAAACAGAACAGAGACCTCAGAAATAGCACCACACATCTACAAGCATCTGATCTTTGAAAAACCTGACAGAAAAAAGCAATGGGGAAAGGATTCCCTATTTAATAAATAGTGTTGGCGAAAATGGTTAGCCATATGCAGAAAACAGAAACTGGACCCCTTTTATACAGCTTATACAAAAATTAACTCAAGATGGATTAAAGATTTAAACATAAGACCTAAAACCATAAAAACCCTAGAACTAGGCAATATCATTCAGAACATAGGCATGGGCAAAGATTTCATCACTAAAACACAAAAAGCAATGGAAACAAAAGCCAAAATTGACAAATTAAACTAATTAAAATTGACAAATTTTAGTTCAGTTGACAAATTACACTAATTAAAATTGACAAAATTTGACAAAATTGACAAATTAATTAAATTAAACTAAAGAGCTTCTGCACAGCAAAAGAAACTATCATCAGAGTGAACAGGCAACCTACAGAATGGGAGAAAATTTTTGCAATTTATCCATCTAACAATGGGCTAATATCCAGAATCTACAAAGAACTTAAACAAATTTACAAGAAAAAAACAAACAACCCCATCAAAAAGTGGGTGAAGGATATGAACAGACACTTCTTAAAAGAAGACATTTATGTGGCAAACAAACATATGAAAAGGGCTTATCATCACTGGTCATTAGAGAAATGCAAATCAAAACCACAATGAGATACCATCTCATGCCAGTTAAAATGGTAGTCATTAAAAAGTCAGGAAACAACAGATGCTGAAGAGGATGTGGAGAAACAGGAAGGCTTTTACACTGTTGGTGGGAGTGTAAATTAGTTCAACCATTGTGGAAGACTGTGGTGATTCCTTAAGGATCTAGAACTAGAAATACCATTTGACCCAGTGATCCCATTACTGGGTATATACCCGAAGGATTATAAATCATGCTACTATGAAGACACATGCACACGTATGTTTATTGCGGCACTATTCACAATAGCAAAGACTTGGAACCAACCCAAATGTCCATCAATGATAGACTGGATTAAGAAAATGTGGCACATATACACCATGAAATACTATGCAGCCATAAAAAGGACGAGTTCATGTCCTTTGCAGGGACATGGATGAAGCTGGAAACCATCATTCTCAGCAAACTATCGCAAGGACAGAAAACCAAACACGGCATGTTCTCACTCATAGGTGGGAATTGAAAAATGAGAACACATGGACACAGGGCAGGGAATATCACACACTGGGGCCTGTTGGGGGTGGGGGTCTAGGGGAGGGATAGCATTAGGAGAAATACCTAATGTAGACGATGGGTTGATGGGTGCAGCAAACCACCATGGTACATGTATACCTATGTAACAAACCTGCAAGTTCTGCACATGTATCCCAGAACTTAAAGTATAATTTAAAAAATAATAATAATGAAAAAATAATTTGGGTACATATAATAAAAAAATTCAAGATCCACAATCTCTTGAATATAAAAACTACATGAAATATAGAGGAGATAGGACCAAAGGTAACAGCTGCTCTAGACCCTTAATGGCTCCCTTGTAGGGAGGATCAGTACTGTCCCATAAAGTCACATTCCCTATGTGACCTTGAGGTCTTCTCAGATTCTATCTCTGCAGTGAGGTAAACAGCCAGTCAGCACCGAAGGACAAGGAGGGGTGTATTTTAACATCTTGTCACCCTTTGATCATAGTGTATTTCATTCTTATATATCTCTCCTTCCTGGTCACTGTAGAACCATACAGAAACCATCTGCCCCACTATGTGAATCACATTTAACCACAAGGTTTTAAGAGGGAATATAATAAAAGATTATTTCCTGCAGGGATAAGAAGCAACTTCAAGCTAGAAATGCATGAATTGCTAGAGAAACCAACGAAAGGAGCCTTGCATCCATCTCATTTTTCTCAAGTTGAGCCACATGTGAACAAAAGTCTATATGAAATGATCAGCTGGCTCCTTCACAAACAGCTGTAGGTGAACGGAGGGGAATAGCATGAGGATACATGGAGTGTGAGCTTGATCTGGCTTTCAGTAAGAATTTGCCAATATGTTGTGTCAGAACCTGCTTGGTAAGTGGCACAGCACAAAAACATTCCCAAGACTTCTTTACATTATGTTTATGGATCATTCATGACTAATTTTCCAACAAAAACAAACATGCACTAGAGAAAATCAAGAAAGAGCAAATTGATCTTTGAGAAGACAGCAAAGTAAAGTTCTTACATTAATTTTACTTTACAAAACATGCAATTCAATTCATGACAAAATCCAAGGAGCACGTTTGAGCTACTGGAATTCCTGAGTTCATTGGGAAAATGCTGACCTGACTTTCCTCTTCTGCCTTCTAGGATGGGTTGGGCTGGGCTGGACCTCAGTCTGGGAGATGCATTAAAGTGGAGAGACTGACTTCTCTTAAAGATTCTTCTTTGTTTCAGGGGACAGTTCTTAAGGACAGAGTAATAGAGTCAGACAGGATTGGGGGATATCGTGAGATGTTGAGATAAAGATGCTTCAGTTAAAGGCCTGGGCTCTGATATGCAAGTGGCCCTGGTACAGGAAGACCTAAGGGACACAGGGAACTTGATAACTGCTTGTCAAGACCCAGTTCAAAGCAGATATGCTTAGAGAGCTTCCTGACATGAGGGCAGAACTTTGATCTCTCAGGAGGTTGGCCTCTGTGATACCAAGTCCGTCCAAGTCCTCCCAGGTATGAGAAAAAAGGTCTCTACCTTTTTTTTCATTTTCAAAGCATTTTAACTCAAAGACTCATTTTTTAAAAAAATTTAAAACCTTGTGATTTTTTTTTTACTGAGGAAGGTGCATTTGAAGATTGACAGGATAGAAACCAGTTTCCTGGAAAAAGGAGGGCCTGCGGTTCCCAAGGTAGCCCCAGTGGGTGAGCTACTTCTGTGTTCTGGTCCCTGGTTCACAGGTGCCCTGGCTGTGTAGATGGGCAGAGGGTGTGTTTTTCTGTTAGAAGTAGGATTTGAGCCACTGTGTTACTGAGGTGTGGTCTATGACTTCTGGGTGTAACCTTTCAGATTTTCCAATTTCCCAGCTTCTATATTCGTATTTAATTCTCATCTAACACAGAAAATGAAGTTCTGGCACATGCTGCACCATGAACAAGCCATGAAAACATGAGGCTGAGTGAAAGAAACAGAAACAAAATGTCACGGAAGGTTTGATTCCACTAATAGGACGTGTCCAGAATGGGTGAATGCGCAGAGACAGAAAGCAGATGGTGGTTGCCAAGAGCTGGGAGGGAGAAAGGGATGTAACTGCTAAGGGCATCCTTATGGGGCATGAAAATGTTTTGGAACTAGATAGAGTTGGGGGTTGCGCAATATTGTGAAGAGGCAAAGTGAGGCAGAACTGTGCACTCTAAATTGGTTAATTTATGTTATGTGAATTTCACCTCAGATAAAAATTAAGTGGGGAGGGTGGGCTCTCGCCTCAGAATCAGAGCAAATACTTCAATCCCAATGCAAAGGCTACTTGGCTATTTTGGCTGCACCAAACTGAGCACTTCCAACAGCGCTGGCTCCCTGAATCCCAGGATCCAGCCTGCTGTATCTACTCCTTGGGGAGCCTGGCTCATGACCCAACTTGGAAATGACATTCCCAAGACCACAAATGACATTTCCAAGTACCAGGATGTCTCTATGCCCAGTGCTGGGGCCACACCAGATGCCGAGGCCTCTCCACCCCAGGAGGGCTGCCTCCTCCTCCTAGGTGACAATGAAGAATGTACTGCTCAGTCACTGGGCTCAGTGGTCGTCTCTGGGCATGAGCTGGGTTTCAATGAGCTCAGGAATGGGAAGCATGACTCTGCCCCTGAGGCCACATGCCACCTCCATAGCGGATCTTTTCTTCTGGCTGGAGGGGAAGTCACTTCTTCCCATGAAACTATTTTATCTATAAATCTCCTCTCCTTGTTGGAGACCAAAGCCCAGCTGCTCCTGCTTGGTGCCCTGGTGGCCTGGGGTGGGCCATGGAGTCCTGTTTGCAGTTTCTCTTCTGTCACCATCACGAGTTCTGACACCCTGGCCTGGGCACAGAACCGCACATCAGCCTGATGTTTCCATGGACACCAATGTTACTAAGCCCCAAGCCTCGTCTTATGACCAGATTAGATATAAGCTGGATCTGCTTTCCTCTCCTGGCCTCAGATAAGAAAGTCTAGGCAACAGGCACAGGGAGGGGCGAGACTGGGGCCAGACCCTTCCATTTCAACAGAGCTGCTGACTGAAGGGGAACTCCATCATCCTGGCAAGGAGGGAAGATTCAAACACTGGGCTCACTTGGAGCTGGTCCCTAGCACTCTCCTGAAACCCCACTGATGCACCAATATGTGACTGCAGATCACAGGGTCACGTGTGAGATATTTCCTGGCATATCTTAGGCTTTCATCAATTTGTGGAACAATCTTTGTTTTAGAAGCCTCTGTGATCCATAAACAAAGCTTCAGTAGCTCAGGGTTGTAGGACCAGGTTCGTCTCACCATTCTGAGACTTCCCATGATTCCATGTATAAAGTTCTCTTCACTACTGTGATCATCAGCTTGGACTCCCATGACTAAGACCACAGACTGAGTGACTTAAATGATAGAAGTCTATTCTGTCACAGTCCTGGGGGTTGGAATTCTGAGATTAAGGGGTCGGCACTGTCGGTTCTTTCTGAGACCTCTCTCCTTGGCTTGTAGATGGCTGTCTTTTCCCTGCATGCTTACATGGTTGTCCCTGTGTGTTTAACTAATCCTAATCTCCTCATCTCATGAGGACACCAGTCCTATTGGATTAGGGCCCAACCTAAAGACCCATTTTAACATAATTACCTCTTCAAAGATTCTGTCTGCAGACACAGTCACATTCTGAAGTATTAGGGGTTAGGACCTTAACATATGAATTTAGAAGGTCACAATTCAGCTAATAACAGCAACCCTTAGATAGCTGGGAATACTGAGGCAGAAAAGGATCCACTGCTTATCAAAGATAGCTGTGATTTGCCCACATAAGATCAGCTTTCATACCCTTGGCCTGAACTCCCAGGTTACTAGGTTTGACTCAGCTGTGGGTTCCCAGAAGAGGTATTGATCCTCTCCCGTTTCATTTTTAGTTAGGTGACCAACCAGCTTGGTTTTCCCAGGGCTATCGGGATATTCAGGACAAGGAATTTTCAGGAATACAAACTAGGAAATTCTAAGGCAAAGTGGTACCTTTGCCCTCCCTGCACAATTCTTCACACAAAGACCTGTGATTGGCAGCCTGAAGCGGAGTGCCTGCTCCTGAAGTGGACAGAGCCCATGGCTCAAGTGCATGTCTCCCTCGGGACCCCATGAAGCAGCTTCTGGTGTGCAGGGTCCCCTGCTCTCACCTACATGTAACAGAGCAACTTAAGTCCTCTGCAGGCACCCTCCCCAAGTAGCTCCTCAGTGTCAAACCCTGTTCCAGGGGCTGGAGAAAAGGCAGTGAACAGAATTTTAAAGACAAAGTAAATTCTCATGGAACTTCCATTCCAGGGCATGATTCCCACAAAAGCAAGTAAGTGAATATCATAGACTGCCAGCAGGTCAAGAGTGCAATGTTTAAAGGCTGATCAGCAGAAGATCACCTGGAAGGTGACCCTGAGGCAGAGACTGGAAGGAGGAGACCGAGCTCACTGAGGCACAGAGGCTCTTCCAAGCAGGAGAACAGCATGTGCAAAGGTCCAGGGAGGAGGCCTGAGAGCTAACAGAGAAGAGGTGAGCAGGAGCAAGGTTGGGAGCCCTTCCCTTGAGTACTGACCAGCAACCTCCCCATCCAGGACTCAAGGAGTCTCAGAACCTCAAGGTAAAGTAGTCACTCAGTGCCCCCACCAAAACGATGTCACAAAAACAGCCTGTACCAGTGGGAAAGTTGGAGAACCATCCCTATGGGCTAATGTAAACAAATGTATTTTTTTATGCAGCCTTATAGATAATCTGGGTGCACGGGATACACACTGGGCCTTGGGCACAGCATGAAGCATCAGGGATAACTGAATGCGGTGGAGAGAGGGGTAAGGGTATGCATGAGAGGGCATCCTGCAATGGAGAATCTGGGAGGGAAGGGATGGGTCTCCCACAAGAAGCTTGCTCCTTTCCTCCACTCTGCTCTGCAGAATCCCTGCCAATCTCATGAGGCTCAGCAGGAACCTCTGAGGACAGAGGGCAACCCTGACTCTCCTCTCCAGACCTGGTATGTTACCAGCCTTTGTTTTTGCAGGATGTGCGCAGGCAGCAAAGGTAGCCCACCATAGCCTAGCTTCTCGCAACCCTCTCTGGAAAGCTGGATTGGGACAATGAGACTGAGACCTCAGGACATGTGAACATGAGCCATACGGGAGGTGAGTGGTTGGTGGACAGGCAGGTGGTCTTCTCCCTGACAGTGCTGGTGGCCCTCTGTGGACTGGTAGGCAATGATGTGATCTGCTGGCTTCTCTACTCACAGGTCTGGAGCAGCCCCTATGTGACCTACATCCTTAACCTGGCCACTGTTGATATGGTCAACCTCTCCTGTGTAACTGTGATCCTGCTGGAGAAAATCCTCATGCTGTATCACCAGGCGGCATTGCAGGTGGCTGTGTTTCTGGATCCTGTCTCCTATTTCTCCGACACAGTGGGTCTCTGTCTCCTGGTGGCCATGAGTATTGAGAGCTTTCTCTGTGCCCTCTGTCCCACCTGGTGCTGCCACCGCCCAGAGCACACCTCTGCCATGGTGAGGTGGGCCCTGGCCCTTTCTTTGTATGCAGTTAGCCAGGTCTGTGAGTACTGGGAGAAGTGCTTGGCATGTGACCAATTTCATGAGGCTTTATGACATGTCATGTACTTATTTGCTTTGTAATGGGCATGTCCAAGCTGATCCTGATCATCTGGGGTCTGTGCTGTCCCCAGTGGTGTTCCCCCATCAGGACCTATCATGTTGTCTGCTTTGTGATCATCAGCTTCTTCCTTTGGGTCCTGCCCTTAGTTGTCCTTGTGTGCCTGCCAGGAAAGTTTCTGACCCTTGCCTTTGACCTCCTGTTGCTACTGTCCATTGTGGTCAGCATGCCTCACCTAGTCATCTACTTCTTGGCTGAGTAACTCTACAGGAAGAGGCACAGGGAGTCCCTAAAGGCTGTTTTTCAGAGGGCTTTGTTGAGTGAGATGGAGGCATGGATAAAATGAGGCGTTTCAGGCCCCCGATCCCAGGGCAGATTTCAGCCTCACAGCTGGAAACAAACTGCTCTTCTAGGGGGCTCAGCTCCTCCACAAAGGCAGGGACTGCCTATGCACAAGGCTGTAAAAGGGATCATGTCTGGAAAACATGCTGGATCCTCCAAGGAGCAGGGTGAATGTTCTTGAGATTATTTATTACCTTTGTGTATTTTCAGAGTAACCAGATTTCTGACTGAATTCAAGACAAAATTACTTTGCTTCTGTTGATAGCCCATTATTCTCAATTCCCATGGAAACCCTCTGGAAAGGCAGGTCAGGAGCAAAGCAGACCTTCCTGGCTTCTTCTTTTTTTTTTTTTTTCCAGCTAATTATTTTATTTTATTTTATTTTATTTTTCTTTTTTTATTATACTTTAAGTTTTAGGGTACATGTGCACAACGTGCATGTTTGTTACATATGTATACATGTGCCATGTTGGTGTGCTGCACCCATTAACTCATCATTTAACATTAGGTATATCTCCTAGTGCTATCCCTCCCCCTTCACCCCACCCCACAACAGGCCCCAGAGTGTGATGTTCCCCTTCCTGTGTCCATGTGTTCTCATTGTTCAATTCCCACCTATGAGTGAGAACATGCGGTGTTTGGTTTTTTTGTCCTTGCACTAGTTTGCTGAGAATGATGGTTTCCAGCTTCATCCATGTCCCTACAAAGGACATGAACTCATCATTTTTTATGGCTGCATAGTATTCCATGGCGTATATGTGCCACATTTTCTTAATCCAGTCTATCATTGTTGGACATTTGGGTTGGTTTCAAGTCTTTGCTATTGTGAATAGTGTCATAATAAACATACGTGTGCATGTGTCTTTATAGCAGCATGATTTACAATCCTTTCGGTATATACCCAGTAATGGGATGGCTGGGTCAAATGGTATTTCTAGTTCTAGATCCCTGAGGAATCGCCACACTGACTTCTACAATGGTTGAACTAGTTTATAGTCACTGGCCATCAGAGAAATGCAAATCAAAACCACGATGAGATACCATCTCACACCAGTTAGAATGGTGATCATTAAAAAGTCAGGAAACAACAGGTGCTGGAGAGGATGTGGAGAAATAGGAACATCTTTACACTGTTGGTGGGACTGTAAACTAGTTCAACCTTCCTGGCTTCTGCAAGCTCCATATTTCTGAGAGTGACAAGTGTCATTCATCCTTATTCAGTCACCTTGCTCGGAGTTCTGTCCTCTGTCACCCCAGTCCATCCTTCCTGGGGACCCCTGGGCAGAGACTGATTCATGATCCTGATGTTCCTCCACCATTATGGCCTCAAGTTTCCATCCATCCCTTCCTACAAAAGCCAGGAAAGCGATTCAGTAAGAGTGCCATAACAAGTTGTTTCTGGCGTTGCTCACTGTGGAGAGATCTAACGCTGGCAGTCTGGCCTACAGCCTGGTTTCTCCAAGCTGTTTCACTCTGCTCATTCCAGGTTCCACGCACAGGCTACTCTCTGTGTTTTTCCCAGACTCATCACACAATCTAGCGCCTGTGCTTCTTCACAGGAATCCCACCCTGCAGAATGTCATGCATTCTTCCCCACCCTGACCAGGGTGTTGCCCGGCACCCACCATGGTCAGAACCTTAATGAGAGCCCCTGACCAGCCCCAGCTCCATCCCGTCAATGCTCTATAGCCATCACAGCAGCACATCACCCTGCTTCATTTGTTCAATTGCACCCCAGCCAGCGTAACTCTTAGATTTCAGGATGGTGTCCACCCCCTGAGTTGTCCTCAGGTGCACCATTTGACCTTGTCCCATGACATCCTCACACAGGATTCACTCTCTCCCTTGTTTGCACCAGACTCGCGCCCAACCTTGCAAGGTCCCTTTCTCCCTTCCCTGCTTAGAGCACTCCCTCAACACTATCTGTACATTTTACTCTTTTTCACCCTTCACTCCTTAAAGATGTTTGTCCAGACCACCCCATTTAAATCTCCACCCCTTTTTGACTCTTCTCTAAAAGGTTTGTTTCTTTTAATGTGAAGATAATTGTCTATAATTATTTTCTATGTATTCTGTGTTGTGTGTTGTTATCAGTTTATTGTACTCCTGCCTCATTTGCACTTGAAGCCCCAGTAGGGCAGAGGCCACACCTTCCTCCTACCCTAGCAAATTCCCAGCAAGTAGCAAAATGCCCTGCAAGTCTGACATTAACCCCCCATCATCTGATGTTATCCATCGCTCACTAGTCCACCTTTCCACCTTGCATGTTTCCACATGTTTTCATTGTCTCTGCCTTCTTGAGGCTTCCCAACCATATTCTAACTAGAATTCGACGAACACGTCTTTGGAGATTGTTCCCAGTGTTCTTGTAATTGATTTGTCAGTTTTTTACTCACTTGGAAAATGTCACTTGTATAATACTATGACTGTTATGTGAAATTCACACTGTTTTCTCTGTTGCCGAAAACTTGCTCAGGTTTGTAAATGTGCCAGTGATACTGGTAAGCAATGTACATTCTCTTATTTTAGATATTCAATGTGATACATTCTAAAGCAATTCTGAGATGTTTAGATTACAGCAATTCTTTAAATGCTGTTACTTGGATCATATTGATTTCTGCCTAGTGTAAATGACAAAATTGATAGGGACATGTTCATATCTCCTATTAGTTTGTTTCACATCACACTAGAATTTGAAACAGAGTTTGATTTACATAATTTGATGTTGTCCTTTGATAAGTGAATGGCAGAAACCCTGGCCCTAGAGCACAGAAGGGCTGATCCGGGCTGCCTGTCTTTAGTCAGCGTGTTTTGTTCTAACAAAATGCCATAGATTAGGCTACAAACAGCAGATATTTATTTTCTCAGAGTCCTGGAGCTTGGAAGTTCAAGATCAATGTATCAGCAGGGTGGGCTTCCCCTGAGGCCTCCCTCTTTGACTTGAGATGGCCGCCTTCTCCCTGTGTCATGACATGGCCTTTTTCTGTGTACCCACATCCCTGGGGACACTTTCTATTCTTATGAGGATTTTAATTCTTTAGGATTAGGACCTCAGTCTTATGAGCTCCTTAACCTTAATTATCTCTTTAAAGGCCCTATCTCAAAATATTGTCACATTCAGGGTTAGGACTTTAGCCCGTGAAGTTTGGATGCCTGGAAGTAAGAGGCAGGTTGATCTCACAGAGTTGGGCTGCTGCTATGTTCAGGCAGGGGATACAATTTGGGCATTTTATGTGCCTTTACCCTGGGCCAACAGTTCCCTTGGAGGTGAGCATCTGGCTTATGGTTCTTTAGTTTTTTGTGGAAACGTCTCTATTATCCTTGCAGCTGATGAGCTCCTGGCAACACAGACAGTCCTCAGTTTCCTGAATTCTCTCACTCACTCAGAAAAACAAAAATGTCAAGGCTAGGTATGGACTATTACAGTTTAGTAAGTAATCCCCTTCCTTCCCTCTGGAATTGAGAACTACTGATGAAAGTGAATGAAGGAATGAGGACAGTGTCAGATGGAGAACAATGCATTACTTCTATTGCTCCTAAAATTGAACTGGAGAAAGGGGCTTGGATGTCTAAAAAACTGACTTTCAAAAGTGCCCCTTAAATGGTACCTACTCCAGAGGATCCCATCCCTCCTCCCTCTTCCTGCCCATCTCTCTTTGGAGGAAAGCAGTCCTTCTGGGGAACTCACCACCCACTGGTGAAGGGAGCACTCACTCCAGGTTATTCTTCCAAACTCACTCATCAGTTTCTTTCCTTCTCCCCGGGAGGGAAAAAGTGCGGGGAAAGAGAGAGAGCCCAGAGCTTAAAATAGACCTGAGATTCTCAGTCTTAAATAGTATTGAGCAGCTCAAAGAACTTTTGTGGATCAGGGTTGTATCTTTCAATATTTACAGTATTAGTAATTATAACTCAGAACTTTACAAATGTTTACTTATTAACTCCTTTAGAACATAAATTGTATGCCTATTCCATGTAAACATGAATAAATTTTAGAAAAAATAACTATGTTTTCTTTAAAAAGTTATGTTATTGAGAAGAGCAAGATGGTTTTGTATTTTGCAGACCTCTTAGAGGCCCAGCAGCAAGCTGGACATTCACAGCTGCTTCTGCATTGGTGTAGTTTTCCAGTTGGCGGCTTCATCTCACCTCATACAGTCTCTGGAAAACTCCACTTTCACTCAGGAGTGCATGAGTGTGAGAAACACAGACTCACTTCAATACTTCAAGTATTACCTGAAGATTATGTCGGCCTCCCTTCCCCTAAAAAGGTGTTGGGGACCACATCTCAAGAATTACTCCTCTGGGGTGATCCCCACCTGGAAATAAGGGCTGAGGGAGTGGAGGCACCCACCCTCTCACACCAGTTCCCTTGTTTGGAATTTTTAAAGAGAGAGGCATCCCAGCATTCACCCCGCAGTAGGGCAGAACTGTGTGGCACATCCTGAGAAGGGATCAGCGGGTGACCAGGACTGAGCCTCTGCCACCTGGAAGAAACTGTACCCCAGGACTGACCAGAGTGTCTTGTGGAGTTTCGGCCTCACCAGGAGGCACTTGAATCATGGTAACCATAAGACGCTGCACGGGACAGGAAGATGAATAGTAGCAATAGCAACTAGAGCAAATATGTTCACTGATGATTTACTGTATCTCAATATTGCTCTAATCACTGTGAAAACATGAAGCCAGTTTTCACACTCTATTAATAGGTAACATTATTATCCTGCTTCAGCCTAAGCCAAAAGGCTGCTTGGCCCACTTAGCTGATTGTTATCCAATGGTCCCAGCACATTTATAACAAATATAGTCCTTCACTATTGTTCTGATTTTTGGTTATCAATCATGTTTAGACTTATGTGGGTCTGTCTCTGGGCCTTCTGCTCTGTTCTGTTGGCCTATTTATCCACCCTTGGACAACACCACACTTGATGTAGTTACTGCATCTTTCCCGTGCATATCTATGCCCAGGAAACTGAGTCCTCCTACAAACAGCCAGAGAAGAACAAGACATATATGTACAGAAAATCAAAGATAAGAATGAAGCAGATTTCTTGTTGGAAAGTTGCAAGTTGTATGACAGTGGAGAAAATTCTTTAAAATATTAAAAGAAATAAATTTGTCAGCCTAAAATTTTTTACACAGTCAAAATATTTCCCAAAGAGATGGCAAAATAAAGAGGTTTTTGGAGACACAAAAAAGATGAAACAAATCATCACCAGGAGATATGCAGACTGAGAAGTGGTAAAAGACATACATCCAGCAAGAGAATAATGACTCCACATGGAAATCTGTGTCTATTTAAGGAAGGAGTCCTTTGCCCTGATGGTATCTTCTTAAGACGCTGAAATAAGTGGTGAGAGCCAACATTCTTGGCTTGTTCCTCATCTGGGGTGAAAGCATCCAGTCTTTCATTATTAAGGGTAATACCCACTAAATATCAACCATAGGATTTTTTTTTTGGTAGCTGCCTTTTATCATTTTGAGAAACTTCATTTCTATTCCTAGTTGACTGAAATTTTTTATGAGCCTATTGGATTTTGTCTAATGCTTTTTCTGAATCTGCTGAAATAATGTTTTTGCCTTTTAATCTGTTAATGTGGTGAATTATATTGGCTCATTTTTCATGTTAAACCTGCCTAGTATCCCTGGGATAAATTTCACTTGGTCTTGATGTGCATATATTTATATTTCTGGTGCACATGTATGTATGTTCATGAGAAAGTGATTCTGTGTGTGGCGATGCAGTAGACCTAGAATAGTTAAAAAAAAAAAAAAAAACTTTGAAAAAAGAAGAAGCAAGTGAGACAGTTTATAATACCCGACTTCAAGGCTTATTATAAAGGTTCAGAAATCCAGATGGTGTGATATTGGTAACAGGATGGACAAATAGGTCAACAGAACAGAAGAGGGTCCAGAATAGACCCTAACATATATCTTCAATTGATTTTGAAGAAGGTGTAAAGTAAATTCAGTGGAGAAAGGACAATCTTAGCAACAAACGGTCCTTAGAATTATTGGATATACATATGCACATATGAACAGAACTTCAATCCATACGTGGCATCATACATAAAAATTAATTCAGAATTTATCATAAACCATAATGTAAGACCTAAAGCTGTAAGCTGTATGTAAGAAAAGAAAAGAGAATATCAGTGTAACTTATGGTTAGGAAAATATTTCTTGGATGAATACAAAAAGTATGATGCATAAAAGAAAAAATTGATCAATTGGATTTCATCAAAATATAAGATGTGTGCACTTTGAAAGACCCTGTGGGGAGAATGAAAAGGCAAGTTCCAGGCTGGAGGAAGTGGTTTCAATCTCACATCTGATGAAGGACTCATATGTAGGATCTATAAAGAGCTCAGATGAATGGGCCCCTGGCAGCCCTTGGGAATCACAGGGGTGCTGTGCCATGGACAGACATGGAAGACACCTCCCACCCTGTCATTCATGTCTTCTGAGCTGCAGTACTCAATGTCCCCTACAAATGCCCCCTCCTGGGCCCACAGACCCTCCTCTCCCCACATCCACACCCTCAGACCAGGCCCTGGGGCTCTTGTTGGGACAGGGCCCCTCCTGCAGGATACAGGGAGGGAGGAACTGTCAGTCTCAGGCTCTGGGTGCCCAGCTTCAAGCTTACCCACCTCAAGGCCCTCTGGGCCCATCTCACAGGATATAATGAGGTAGTCTGGCACCTACTGGACATGCTATCTAGATCTAATCCTGAGCTGTGGAGCCAGAGGAAAGGAGGGATGTTTGTTGGACCAGTTACCCTGTTCTGCCAGGTCTCACAGGGCCCTTCCCTTAGAGGCCAGCTCTAGACACACAGCACAGAGGCCAAGAGGTAGCCAGCCCAGAACCTGCAGGCTGGGCTGGGGACCACACGAGGACTGTCTGGGGACAGCCAGAAGACCCCTCACTAGTTTTCTCACTACCTCATTTCTTATCAGCTACCTTACCTCCATCAAAACCCCCCTTCACGCAAAATCAGTAAGAGGAGGAAGATGGTAAAAGAATCAACGGGAAGAAAACAAAAAAAGGACAACCATTAACAGTCCAGAACCCTGGGTGGGAAGAGTGGAACTGGGAACAGACCCTTTCATTTCAACAGAGCCTTGACTGAAGGGGACTCCATCATCCCAGCAAGGAGGGAAGATTGAAACACTAGGTTCACTTGGAGCTGATCCCTAAACTTCTCCTGAAACCCCACTGATATACTGACATGTGACTGCAGATGCCAGGGTTGCCTGTGGCATATTTCTAGAAAAATCACAGGCATTTATCAGTTTGTGGGACAAGTTTATTTCCAGAAGCTTCTGTGACCCAGAAGCAAAGCGTTAGCAGCTCAGAGTTGTAGAATCAGCATCTCAGATTATAGGATTATAGGATCTACCAGGTCGTAGATCTCACTATTGCAAGACTTCCCATGATTCAATTTGTAAAGTTCTCATCACAACTGTGATCATCAGCTTGGACTCCCGTGACTGAGACCACAAACCGAGTAGCTTAAACTACAGAAGTTTATTCTCTCTCGGTTCTAGGAGGCAGGAAGTCTGAGATCAAGGAGTGGGCAGGATAGGTTTCTTCTGAGGACTCTTTCCCTGGCTCCTAGATGGATATCTTCTCCCTGTGTCCTCACATCGTTGTCCCTTGTGGTGTTTGTATCCTAATCTCGTCTTCTTATAAGGACACTAGTCCTACTGGATTAGGGCCCATTCTAATAATCCATTGAATTTCACCTCAAGTAAAGATTAAATTAAGGGCTAGTGTGAGCTCTCATCTCAGAATCAGAGCCATTACTTCAGTCCCAAAGCAAAGGTTACCTGGCTGTTTTGGATGCACTGAGGCAGACACCTCCTTCAGAGCCTGGTCCCAGAGACAGTTTCTACTAACTGCTTGTTTTTCTGTGTATGGGCCTTACTTTATTGTTTCTTTGCATGTTGTATTATTTCGTTCTTTCTTTTTTAACTTAGCATTTTAAACAGTATAATGTGGCAACTCTGGAAGTCATATTTTTTCTGTTCCCAGATTTTACTATTGCTAGTGGATGTTTTTTGATCAGGTTTTTAAAAACTATCTGTCAAGTCTGTTCTTTTTTGTTTTTTTGTTTTGTTTTGTTTTTGTTGTTGTTGTTGTTCAACGTGGCCACTGAAGTCTCTGCTTGGTTAGCTTAGTGGCCAGGTAAAGACTGGACAAAGATTTCCTTAGGTTCCTGGAAGTAATGTCTCCCAGTGTATGTAGAGAGGCTCTGTGTGCAGGTAGATACAGGTCTTCAAAGCCCAACCAAGCAGTTTACACTGTGTCCTAGCCTTCATTTCCTGTCTGTGCAGTGCCTCAAACTTATTCAGGGTTAGAGCTTAGAGCCTGCTCAGGTCTGTTCAAAGCATATATGCAGCACTTGTCATGCCCACATCTATGCATGCATGTGGCCGTCGGAACTTTCTGGAGTATATTAAGGCTTTTCAATCCCCTTTATGGGCATCTCATTCCCTGACATTTCGTTTTTAAGTTCTTGGTTAGGCTATTGTTTGTTCCAACTGTTATTTATGACCATCGGCAACCATGATGTTCAACAACTGCCTATGATTCTTTTTACTCATTTCCCCAGGAAATACATTGTTCTCTCTGGGATAGCTCTGAGTCAAGTCAAATAAGGATAGCATTGTGAGTTCTAGGGAACAACCAGACAGGTAAAATAATAACAGTCCTCTGGAAATAAGGGATTAAAGGATCTGTAACCCTATTGTGTCCCCTCCAGTGATTTCATGTCTGCTGGTTTTCACCATGATTGTGGACCGTTGGTTTTTAAGAGCTGAGGAGGAAGGAACAGGAGTGGAACCAGTTAAAACATCACAGAGCTCACTGTTCTTATCAAGATTCAGCTATTATTCTTGAACAAACACTCTCCAGATTGCAGCAAGCCTTTGGTTAATTTCTAGAGTTCTAAACAATATTAATTCTGACAATTCTTCCATAGTTCATTTTACTCTTAGGAAGTAGGTCATTTTTGGAAGTCATTACTCTGTTATTTTTGTTGATGTCACTGTGTTACTGGAAAGGGGCCCCAATCCAGACCCCAAGAGAGGATTCTTGGATCTCATGTAAGAAAGAATTTGGGGCGAGTCCATAAAATGAAAGCAAGTTTATTAGGAAAGTAAAGGAATAAAGTATGACTACTCCATAGACAGAGCAGTGGCATGGGCTGCTCAACTGAGTATACTTACAGTTATTTCTTGATTATATACTAAACACGGAGTGGATTATTCATAAGTTTTCTGGGAAGACGGTGGGCAATTCTCAGAACTGAAAGTTCGTCCCCTCTTTAGATTACATAGGGTTACTTCTGGACATTACCATGGCATTTGTAAACTGTCACGGCATTGATGGGAGTGTCATTCAGCATGCTAATGCATTATAATTAGAGTATAATGAACAGTGAGGAGGACCAGAGGTCACTTTCATTGCCATCTTGGTTTTGGCCGGCTTCCTTACAGCATCCTGTTTTATCAGCAGGATCTTTGTGACCTATATCTTATGCCAACCTCCTATCTCATCCTCTGACTGAGAATGCCTAACCTTTTGGGAATGCAGCCCAGCAGGTTTCAGCCTTACTTTACCCAGCCACTACTCAAGATGGAGTCACTCTGGTTCAAACGCCTATAACAACAGTATGGTTTTTTGTTTTATTGGAATTGTTGCTTTAGGGATTATGATATAAATATTTACCCTTTCATGGTCTACTTAGAATGAATAGATCCATTTATTATTATTAGTTTATTCAGTAATTGTCATATGTATTACATTTGTATGAATCCCCATCAGTGTTGTACTTTTTAGTTCCAACAGAGATACATATTTTAAATAATTCAAAAAGAGAATAATATACGATTGCATTTACCCAGATAATTACTCTTTCTGTTGTTCCTTTTTCATTCATGATATTCTGATTTTCCCTCTGGTTTTATTTCCTCTCTGCCTGAAGCAGTGCAATCCATGCTTAAAAGCATTTCTTTTAAATCAGATGAGTTGGTGATACCTACTTTCACTGAGAATATCTTTACTTCATCTTCGTTTCTGAAGAATATTTTAACTTTATATAGAATTGCCTAAATGAGTGTCAATTGTGAGGAATGGGAATTAATGACATTGGCTGCTAAAATGGAGTGAAGAAGGTAGGTGAACAGCTCTGGTCTAAGACCAAGGTTCCCATGCAGGACTTGGTTTTTCTGCTGGGCTTTAAGACCCCAAAGCCCAAGAAAATGCTATCGTCTTATGAAATTTCCAAGAAGAAGACCATCCACCTCACCTTAAAGGTGGTGAAGCCCAAGATGCGGAGCTGCCCATGTTTCTGGTGGAAACATGTGATGAGGAGCAGAGAAATCTCCTCCTGGCATGACTTAATTTAAAAAAATATGGTAGATTATGGCATCAGAAAGGACAAATTACATTTCTTGACATACCACTCCACTGGAGGTGACCCAGGGGTAGAGAGATGCTTAAGGAAAAGCAGTTCATTTTCTTCTGGCTCATGTTCAGTAACCAGGGTGCCCAAATACTTTGAAGACGGAGTCTTAATCCAGAAGATAGGAGTTCTGTGTAACCTATACTATATGGTTACTTGATAGCAACAAAGTTCTTGTTGAAATATTCTGTTATAACTCAAAGGTTATATTATGTTTGCTTTTTTTTTCTGGACTCTTTAGTGGAAAATGGAAAAAAATACTACAAATAAAACATTAAACTTTTCCTTCCAATATTTCACCTTTATTTCAGTCTCAAAAAAAGTGTTATTTGCAACTTTAATGTGGCCAGAACCATATACATTTGAAAGGCTGCTAAATTGAAAACAATAGAGCCTGCATTTTGGTTGTAACAATCCATTCTGTGTATTTGCATGTGATTATAGATTTGCTAAGTTTTAGTTCCTCCTTTCCTCTGGCTGTAACTTGAGGCAGTGAAGGAGAAAGAGAAGGCAAAAAAGGGTCAATAGAAGAAGGAGCAACTGGACAGAAAGAACCTTGAGGAAGTAGGAAAGAAGACATGTGCAGGGGGTTGAATGCTTATGTCCTTCCAAAATTCATATGTTGAAATCCTAAACCACCAAGATGATGGCATTAGAACATGGGGCCTTTGGGCAGTGATTAGGTCACGAGGGAAGAGGCTTCATAATTGGAATTAGTGCCCTCATAAAAGAGACTCCAGAGAGTTGGTAGTCCCTTTCACCATGTGTGGGCACAGCAAGAAGTCACCTTCTATAATCAGAAAGCAGGCCCTCAATAGGCATGAAATCTGCCTTAATCTTGGAGTTTCCAGCCTCCAGAACTGTAAGAAAGAAATGTTTGTTATTTATAAACCACCCAATTTATGTGTAGCTTGTGATAGTAGCTTGAATGAACTAAGCTAACACGGTAAGAACCAGAAATGAAGATAGAGTGACGGTGATGACTGTCAAGCACACTCATGAGAAGCAAGGCAAGGCCATGGCCTAGCTGATTTGGCTGGAGAAGATATGAGCCACTTTTACACTTAGATGGCTTATTATTTACATATAAAAAAGAAGTAAAAGCCAAACGTGCCAATTCCCTGGCTCCTTGTCCTACACACCAAAAAGGATGACACGGAAACCAAAGGGGCCAGACGACTGTGACACTGTTGTGGAATATACCACTGGTGAGGAGTCAGTTCTAGAATCCAGCTATTCCTCATTATATTCTTCAGCTATATCCTAAAGGGTGTGGGGCAGAAAACCCCATGCTCCATCCAAAACCTGGGAGACAGTAAAGACTTGTCACATGACATACTCCCAGGGATATAAGAAGGAGAGTGAGAGATGGCATTGAGGCAGGTTCTAAAGGGCCTCCCATCCTCTCATATTCCAGGAGGATCAAAAAGCATTCTTCTAAATCTCAGATTAGCTGTTCTTCAAGCCTTTGCTTACATGACCTACGTAGATACATGCAAGGTGTCCAGAATGCTATGATGGAGTAGTTCCCCTACACTGACATGACAATTGGAGAGCAATTATATAACCAGAAATAGGCATGGTGGAGTTAGGAAATCTATAGAAGTGATGACAGTAAAAAGAACAGAATGGAGGATAGAAATATTAAGAATGGACAGTGATAGGAATGATAATATTTGAATTTGTGTGCCTTATGGAGCTACCTATCTCCTCTCACCCAATTTCTTTTATCTCTCTGTCCCTCTCTTTCTCATTCTCCCTCTCATAGATAACATAGCCACACTGTGACCCACCACAGTGGCTCAGGTGTATGTGGGAAGGGTAGTAGTCTGGAAAACTTAACATGTTCATAAATCTTGAAGAAACTCTTCTTACTTTCGAAAGTATATTAAGCAGCTCTCCAGCTTTCCCTGGAGTCTCTTTCCTTCCCTAGTAACCTCCTGAGTGCTCGCTTTATCTCCTTGTTCCTCAGGGTGTATACGAGAGGGTTAAGTGAAGGAGTGCCCACTGCATAGAAGAGACCAAAGAACTTGCCCCTCCCTTGGGCATACGGATTTTTGGGCTGGAGGTAGACAGCAATGACTGAGCTGTAGAAGAGGGTGACCACAGTGAGATGGGAGGAGCAGGTCCCAAAGGCCTTTCTCCATGCTGTGGCAGAGTTAATCCTCAGCACTGCCTGGGCAGTGGCTCCATAAGAGGCAAGGATGAGGCTGAGAGGCACAACCACGAAGATGACACTGGACACAGCCAACTGGATTTCATTGTAGGAGGTATCTCCACAGGAGAGTCGAATCAGAGATGGGACCTCACATAAAAAGTCATCTATCTGCTGGTGGGGACAGAAGGGCAAGTGGAGGGTGGATGGTGTCTGGACTATCGATTGAACCAGACTCATAACCCAGGCCACAGATGCCAGCTGCCAGCACAGGCGGGGGTGGATGATGGTGGCATAGTGGAGGGGCTGGCAGACAGCCACGTATCGGTCAAAGGCCATCACTGTCAGGAGGATGCACTCAGTGGTCCCCAGGGACAGGAAGATGAAGAGCTGGACAGAGCATCCCAGGAAGCTGATGGTCTTCTTTGGGCCCCAGAGGTTGACCAGCATCTGGGGGACACAACTTGTGGTAAAGCAGAGGTCCAAGAAGGAGAGGTCAGAGAGGAAAAAGTACATTGGAGAGTGGAGCCTGGGGTACAGTACAGACAGCAGGATGATGAGTGTGTTGCCCACCAGGGTCAAGAGGTAGGAAGTGAAGACAACCACAAAGAGAGTCCTTTCCAGTGCTGGGTGTTCAGAGAAGCCCAGAAGGAGGAAGCCCATGGGGGAGCTTTGGTTAACCATGGCCTGTTCTTGTTTGTACCTGGAGGGATGAGGCTGTCACCCCAGTGTGATTCAACCTGTCTTATCAAAACTCAGCCTGGGTGTTTGTGAGGTCACAGCAGGTAGGTGTTTCTTTTCTGTCTCTGCTCACCCAGCCTCCCTTTCCCAGGCTTATTGTCATCCAGCAGCTCCTTCTCGTTCCCTGTTCCTTCTGATCAAACGTTGTCTAGCAGAAGTGAGGAAACCAAGAATGTGCTGGAAAGCAGGTGGAACCTCACATTGGTGCCTCTGACTTCCTGGTTGAGGGCAAAGAAAGCTGATGTAAAACATGGATTAATTAACCGATCTTCATTAATTCAACAATAAATTGTTAGGCTCTATCTTATTCTAAATGTTGTGGTAGTTCTGAATATTTCATTATGTACATCCATAAAGAATTAGAAAAGAATCATTTGATAGAATTGCCCTACTATTCATATGTATGCAAAATTATTCTGTATTCTGGGGCATAAGTTTCCTGGAATTATTCATGTTTTATCTACTTTATCTTTGTTTGCAGAGGTGTCAATCAGAGGCAGAGTGTAGAATTAACAAAGAGATTTCTCCGCTGTGTGTATTAACTCCACTCATAGAAAAATCAATGAGGTATTTTGTTCCTTCTCCATTAAAAAAATTATGATTCATTAAACTAAATGTAAGAGCTTCCTCCACAAATGAAAATCCCTAACCTCAACTTAACATTATGTAGAATGTAGCAAAATGACATGAAAAAAATGCTGCCAATTGTCTTGTTCTGGGGCTTAGAAATTAAAAAGATGATATAATTTTTAAAATTTTTTGCCTCTCAAATAAGATTATGTCAATAGCAAAATAGAGAGTTGATATTGGGACGTTTAAGTAGAAATTATTCAGGATCTAGAAGAATTTAAAGAAAAAAAGGAAGGAATTAGAATTTGTTACTTTCTTAATTCTATTCACTATTTAAGATTTAAAACATTATTTTTATAAAAATTCATACCCCCAAATTTTAAGAGTAATTTAAAGAATTTCTGAATGTTCTTTATCTATATTAGTAAAGTGCTAACACTTGACATTTTTATCATTACATCTTTATCTTTGCATATGCAATTATATTTACCCTGAGCTACTGAACAGTGAGTTGTATATATAATGCCTCTTCACTTCTTCATGTTTCTAAGATAGAATTTTTTTTTAGTGTAAAAACAGCTCAGTTACTAAATACAGGAAAGCCAACATTGATAAAGTATTATTGGCCGGGTGTGGTGGCTCACGCCTATAATCCCAGCACTTTGGGAGGCTGAGGCGGGCGGATCACCTGAGGTCAGATGTTTGAGATCAGCCTGGTCAACATGGTGAAACCTCGTCTCTACAAAAAAAAAAAAAAAAAAAAAAAAAAAATTAGCGGGGTGTGGTGGTGGGTGTCTGTAATCCCAGCTACTCAGGAGGCTGAAGCAGGAGAATCGTTTCAACCTGGGAGGTGGAAGTTGCAGTGAGCTGAGATCGTGCCATTACACTCCAGCCTGGGCAACGAGAGAGAAACTCTGTCTCAAAACTAACTAAATAAATAATAAAATATTATTACTTACTCTGTAGACCATACTTATAGTTTTGCCAATAATTTCTGTTATATACGTGTTTTCCCATGGAAGATCCACTCCAGATTATGTATGTCTGAGCTTGCCCTCTTAAGTAGCCTTTCCTTAGTCAGTGAAATAACAAGCCTTAAAGTATAGGCTGGTCGGTTCAGTTCCTAGCATGAGAAGCAGAGAGACTAGAAGAGTATGGCCTCATGTATTCAATAAACACTGGGAAATACATGGGAAAATTGAGACCCTCCCCAACACCGCCGCCCAGAATTGAAGGCAAATAAATTAAGATGAGGTGTGGGTTAGGAAAGAGTCTGCACAATAAAGGAGGAATCTGGGTGGGTGGGCCACGGAAAGCCTTTAGGAGGAGGTGACATGCATTTTTGCTGTAAAAGACTGTGCTGAGACACATGAGGCAAGCTCAATGATGGGGGTGGGATGTGGCACCACCCTGGCAGGTAAGAGGCAGAAACTGAGGGTTTTCTGAGCACAGACAATGGCAGGAGGGCCGTTTAGGGGATGTGGCCATTTAGGGCAAGCAAGTTGGTGGTCTCATTGGCAGACAGTGCCCTGGGACTTTATGGGATGGCACAATCACCTCTGCATCACAGGACCCTGTCTGGTGTTAAAAGCTGCCTCCCATCTCCCTTTTCATCAAGACTCCCTCCTTTTTGTCTCCTTCTATATTCCTTCCTCCATCATTACGTCTCTCCTTGAGGATAAGATTTGTTCCCTTAATTTTTTAAAAATCATATAAACAAAAAGTATATAAAACACATCTATGGATTTTATGGAATAATAAACACATGGTGTACCTGAATCTCCTCCTGATTTAAGAACAGATCAAATATTACTGGTATCTTAGAAGTCTTCTGTGTTCTCCTCCCTGATCACATCTCCTTCTCTCCCACTGAAGAAGTAAACACTATTCTGATTATTTTAAATGTATCGTTCCTTTTTAAACTTTGCAGCCTCATATCTTTTGTGTCTCAGCAATTGTCCAGAGTTTTATTCATCCATAAACTGCAGCATTTCTTACATTCTTACTCTCTTGGCAACTTGTCTCACTGTATGTTTTTTCTTAATCTCTTCAGTTTATATCTTCCTTTGACCCTCTGCACTCTCCTATTTTCTATCTTTAATAACATGCCTTTTCCTTACCCTGTTTCTTCTGGTCCTTTTCTCTGACACCAATAATAGGCAAGCACTACTTTCCCTACATCCCATTAACTCCACACAGAAGCACATTAATTTATTCTTTTTTGGTCCTCAAAGAGCCAGTCATGTACTAACTGCTACAAAGTTATGAGACAAATTCTGCCCTACAGTTCAATAATAATAACCACTTATAGTTTTGACAGTTACTATCTGTTGATGTCCTATATACTAACACTGTGCTAAATAATTTCCTGGAATATCTGCTTCTTAAAAGAACCCTGCTAGACAGTTAATATCTCTGCAGAAGAACAAACAGTCTCAAAGAGGTTAAGTAACTTGCCCAGGGTTACCCTGCCAATGAGTGTCAGTGCCAGGATTGTAGACCCTGTTTGATTCAGAACTGTCTTAAGAACATGTGGAAATTGATGGGCTGTAGGGGAATAAACTTGTGACTTACTTGCAATTAAGTCAGACTCTCTTCACGGCCTTGCTGCCACAGCTTCCCCATAGAAAGGAACTTCTGGACTGGTTGGAGCCTCCACTTGTGATCTCACAATGAGAACTAAAAGCAAACTAAAGAGGAATGTTATACTCTTGATGATTATTGGAACTTGGATTTCAGTTAAGAGTATTGATTGCTAGTGCTTACTTCCATGGGCACTCAAAAAAGCGCTTCATATTTACGGCTCCTTATAACTTCAAAAGGTGGGTACTATTATTACCTTCCCTTACAGATCAATAATTGAAGACATGTAGAGGTTGAATATCTTGTTCTGGAAAGTATAGCTAGTAAGCGCCAAAGACCAAATTTTAACCCAGGTGGGCTGGCTGAAGAAGCTATGCGCTAACCACATTCCACCATTGCTCTGCCAGACACATGAGCTAGAGTTAGCGCTTTACTATGGAACTCTTGCTAACGACTTCTTTTCCTCAATCCAGTAAGTTAACCTCTCTTTTAGTGACATTAAAGGCAGAAAAAAAGGCATAGTGAGATGATGGGGGGAGGAATCCCAAGACTCCCATCCCATAGAGAGAAGTAGCTCATTAATTCTGCCAAGACTAGGTGCCCCATAACCTATAGACAGCTAATTGGCCACAGCTACTAATGGTTAAGAAGGAATGTGAAGATTCAAAGGAAGTGTGCCAGCAACTGAGTTCCCTTTGGCATATAAAAAGGTCACCACTGCTTCTCCGTGTCACTGGGGAGTAAAAGGGCACTATTCTCTCCTGATCCACACCTTCTGAGTGTCCCATATTTCCAGCCTTCCTCTCAAGCCTCGAATGTGCTCATTCAATCCCCCCTGACTTTGGTTTATTTCCTTTCTCTTTTTAAAATTAAGGTATAATTTACATAATGAAGTGCACATATTTTAATGGACAATTCACTGAATGTGAACAAATGTATACATCCAGACAACCATTACCCTACTGAAGATATAGAACATTTCCATCACTCCAGAAATTTCATCATGCCCATTTACAATAATTCTCCCCATGCTCTAGGCAACCACTGCTCTGATTTCTATCATTTTGTTTTGCTTTTTCCAGAACTTCACATAAAAGATTCATTCAGCACATACTCTTTGTGTTTGGTGTGTTATGCTCTGTACCACAGTTTGGAGAATCATCCCTGTTGTTTTGTGTATCAATAGTCCAATTCTTTTTTAAAAATATCAGTGAGTAGTATTCTCTTGCCTAAATATATCACAATTTTTTCATCCATTCACTTGTTGATGAACATTCAGGTTTGTGGTTGTTTTAAAATATGGCCCCCAATTTTCTTATATCCCCTTCACAAAGTAGAGCCTACTTCCCTTACCTTTGCATGGGAGCTGTACTGAGTGACTCAGTTTTAACAAATAGAATCTGGTAGAAACGATGGGATGTGACATCAAAGACTATGTCACAGTAACATTGTGACTTCTTCTTTGTGGATTGTTTACTTTGGAGGAAGCCATCCTAGCAGTGAATGGAAACACACATATGGGGAGAAACTAAGGCTCCCTACTAAAAACGTGCAACATGTGACTGGGACATCTTGTAAGTGAATCCTTCAGCTTCATCCAAATCTTAGAAATACAATCAGCTGACTTCTTGACTACAATGTCAAGAAAGATCCTAAAATAGATACATCTACTATGTATTCACAAAAAGTTTTTAAAAAGTTAAAAGAAAGATCCTAAGCTAGAATCACCAGCTACTATTTAGCTGCTTCTGAATTGCTGGCCCATAGAAACTGTGAGATAATAAATATTTGTTGTTTGAAGCCATTAAGTTTTGGGATAACTTTTTATGCTGTAATAGAGAAACAGTGTGGGGTGGTTTCCAGTTTTTGCTGTTGTGAATCAATCTGCTATAAACTTTCATGTACAAGTCTTTTGTGTATGTGTATTTTCATTTCTCTTTGGTCAAAACCTATTTGTGGAATTTCAGGGTCATGTGATAGACATTCTAGTGGATATCAGGTGATATCTCATTATAGCTTTTATAGCTTTTTAATTTAATTTTTTTTTTTTTGAGACGGAGTCTTGCTCTGTTGCCCAGGCTGGAGTGCAGTGGCGCGATCTCGGCTCACTGAAAACTCTGCCTTCCGGGTTCACGCCATTCTCCTGCCTCAACCTCCCGAATAGCTGGGACTACAGGCGCCCGCCACCACGCCCAGCTAATTTTTTGTATTTTTAGTAGAGACGGGGTTTCACCATGGTCTCGATCTCCTGACCTCGTGATCCGCCCACCTCGGCCTCCCAAAGTGCTGGGATTACAGGCGTGAGCCACCGTGCCCGGCTTTTTTTTTTTTTAGACTGAGTTTCACTCTGTCGCCCAGGCTGGAGTACAGTGGTGTGATCTCGGCTCACTGGAACCTCCGCCTCCCAGGTTCAAGTGATTCTCCTGCCTCAGCCTCCTGAGTAGCTGGGATTATAGACATGTACCACCATGCCCAGCTAATTATTGTATATTTAGTAGAGACGGTGTTTCACCACATTGACCAGGCTGATCTCGAACTCCTGATTTCAGGTGATCCACCTGCTTAGGCCTCCCAAAGTGCTGAGTTACATGTGTAAGCCACCAAGCCAGGCTAATTTTGAAAATTTTTTGTTGTATATGCTTAGGATATACAGGATTTCCTTTTTTTTTTTTTTTTTTTTTGAGACAAGTCTCATTCTGTCTCCTAGGCTGGAGTGCAATGGCACGATCTCGGCTCACTAAAACCTCCGCCTCCTGGGTTCAAGCGATACTCCTGCCCCAGCCTCCCAAGTAGCTGGGATTACAGGCGCATGCTGCCACACCCGGCCACTTTTTTGTGTTTTAGTAGAGAGGGGGTTTCACCATGTTGCCCAGGCTGGTCTCGAACTCCTGAGCTCAGGCAATCCACCCGCCTCGGCCTCCCAAATGATGTTTTGATATACATAGTTAAATGATTACTATGGTCAAGCCAATTAACATATCTATCAACTCACAGTTACTTTTCTTGTGGTAAGAGTACTTAAAATCTATTCTCTTAGAAATTTCCAGTATATAATACAATGTTGTCAACTGTAGTCCTCAGGCTATACATTAGATCTCTAGACTTATTAATCTCACAGTAGTTTCTAAATTTACAATTATCCAACAACTAAGTCATTGAGCATCTTTTCATTGGTCATTTATATATTCTTTTGTGAGGTGTCTGTTCAAGTCATTTGTCCATATTTTATAGTGTTTCCTTTTATGATAAAAGTATATGAGTTCTTCATATATTCTGCATAAAAGTCCTTTGTCAAATAAATGCACTGTGCTATTTTTTCAGTCTGTGGTTTGATGTTTCAATTTGAATGGCGTCTTCAAAGGAGAAGAAGCTTTTAAGTTTGATTAACTCAAAATTCATCAATTATCTTTTTGCAGTTAAGTGCTTTTTGAATCCTAAGAAATCTTTACCTATTCTAAGGTCATAAATATTTTCTTTTATGTTCTTCTTTAGAAGCTTTTAATTTCTAGCTTATATGTTTATTTATATGACCCATGTTAATTTTTTTGTATGTTGTGATATAGGAGTCATAATTCATTTTCATACATATAATAAAATATTATGAAAATGGCTGCTTTTTTACACTTGATCTTAGCCAAAAGGCCGAGAAGCGATAAAAAAAATGGCTGCTTTTTTAAACAAATCATAATGGTACAGTTTTTATACCTATATCTGGTTCCTCCAGTACCATTTGTTGCAAAGAATATCGTTTCCTGTATTGAATTATCTTGGTGTCTTTGTGTAAAATCAATAGATCTTATGTGTTTGGCTCTATTTCTGCACTTTCTATTCAGTTCCACTGATCTCACCAGTTGATGACATTTGGATTGTTTCTACTTTTTGGGTGTTACTAATAATGTTCTTATGAAGAGTCATTGAAGGCATATGATTTAAATTGTCTTGGATATTACCTGACAGTGGAATTATTGGGTTGTATAGTAAATTTTTTTTATAAAAAACCTGCCAAATTGTTTTCCAAAGTGGCTCTGTCAATTTTGACATATTCTTGCCAACACTTAATCAGTATTTCACATCTTTGTCAACATCTTATACCATCAGTTTCTTATTATAGTCATTCTAGTAGACTTGTAAGTATTGTGTTTAATTTCATGTTCTTAATAACCAATGATAAAGAGCATCCTTTCATGCCTTTTTTTTCCATCTGGGCCCCAGCTGATTGGATGATACCCATCTATATTGACAGTGGATCTTCCCTACCCAATGAAAGACTATATTGTCCATGAATTCTTTAAAAATGGTTTTAATTTAACTATTTATATTAGATGTTTTGAATCTCTGTTTGCTAAATTCAACAGCAGTCCCACTTACAGTCAGTTTCCATTAACTGCAGTCTTTTCTCTAAGACTTGATTATACTTTCCTGTTTCTTTGCATGTCTCATTTTAGATACTATATTGACAAGTTTATATTCTTATTTTTTTCTAAGAATTATTTTGTTAACATTATTGGACATAATCTGTGGACTGTGTATCTTCCACCATTTATGGCTTCCATGGTCTCAACCTAGCTCTTAAAAATTCATATTTTAAAATCTTGGATCCCAGAAGTTTCCCTTGTTCTTGCACAGCTTAGTGTTCAGTCAATGATTGGGTGAAGGTTTTGGTCAAATACTTTTGATTTCAAAAGGCTTCCATTCTCTGCTAATGCATCTGCCTTTGTGCTGGGACCATATTCAAATTCAGAGAGCTTTTAAGTTTGTCTTGGATTTTACTTCATGCTGGTTTCTCTCATGTTTCTTCTGTACATACCTGTAGTTTCCCAGTCAGCCAGGAATGTGTAGAGATCTTATCTAATTCTTCTATAGCTATCTAATTCCCAGCATCTTCCCATTACATTTCTGATAGGTTCACTGTTCGCCTCATTAAAACTGTAACCTCTGGATACCTGAGCCTTAAACACGATTGAGTTTGTTACTTTTACTGACATAAACCCTAGGCATGAGTTTTTATCTTTGTTCCAAATCATCTCAACCCTCTTTAATAGTGTAATTGTTGATTTTCATGGCCATTCCTGACTGGCAAAACTACCATCAACTAAGTTGGAGTAGTACTGGAGCACTTTTCACAGGACAGGCACAGTTACCTATGATTCTTACCTAAGCTTCTAGCACTGCTTTATGAAAAAGTGGTTCTCAATTTATTATTTGCCTTGGTTTATTTCCAGACACCTGAAATGATTGTTTTTGACAATTTTTCTGGTTTTATAATTTATTTGTGAGGTGGAGGAAGGAAGGATTTGCTGTCCTCTTTAATTCACCATATCTGGTGAATTTTATTTTTAATGTATATATATTAATTTATATTTATTATTTATTTCATAATTTATATTATAATTTTATTTTTAATCTATAAGTGTATTTATGATTAAGCTGTCTTTATATTTAAAGTGCAAGTTTTTTTCTTGGGGATACCATATGGATCCTGAACTTATAAGAGTCTACTCTGACTTAATACAATACCTTTAACATAGAATATAAAAATCTGATAATAATAAAATTAGTTATAATTCCTCCCATTCTTTGTGCAGCTATTGCCGTGTTTTACTTTACATATGTTACAACCCTTGTAATATATTATCATTATTTTTAGACTTTTAATGAATTTAAGAAAAGGAAGAAGATAACTTTTATATACACTTTTATGTTTCCAATCTTGAAAGTTTTTCGTTCCTTCTCATAGATTTGAAACTCCAAATATTATAATTTCTCTATAGCCTGAAAAACTTCCTTTATCCTTTTTTATTCTTTTAGTGAGTATCTTCTGGCAACAAATTTTCTCAGCTTCTTTTTAATTTCAGATGGCTTTATTTTGCCTTCATTTAAGAAAGATTATTTTCCCCCACTGGGTAATTCTAAGTTGGCAGATTTTTTTTCTCTTCACATTTGAAAGATAATTCATAGCCTTCTGACTCCCTTTGTTTCTGTTGAGATGTTGGCAGTCATTTTTATTGTTATTCCTTATTATGCAATATGTCTCTACCACTTCAGCGGGTTTTCAGATTTTTCTTTTTAAATCTTTGTTTTTCTCAGTTTATGATGTATGTAGATGTGGTATTGATAATGTGGATTGCTATTTTTATCGAATTTGAAAAAATTTTGCCAACATTTTTTGAACAATTTTTTTGTTTGCCCTTTTATCTCTCTTCTCCTTTTTTTCCCCTAATTTTTATTTTAGTTTCAAGGGGCACAGGTGCAGGTTTGTTACACGGGTAAATTGCGTGTCATTGGGGTTTGGTGTACAAATGATTTTGTCACCTAGGTAGTGAGCACAGTAAACAATAGGTAGTTTTTTGACCCTCACCATCCTGCCATTCTTCCAACTCAAGTAGGCCCTGGTGTCTATTGTTACTTTCTTTGTGGTCATGTGTATTCAATGTTTTGCTCCCACTTACAAGTGAGAACATGCAGCATTTGGTTTTCCAATCCTGCTTTAATTTGTTTAGGATAATGGTCTCCATCAGGATCCATGTTGCTGCAAAGGCCATGATTTCATTTTTCATGGGTGTATAGTATTCCATGGTATATAAGTACCATGCATTTTTCTTCTCCAGTCCACTGTTGATAGGTATTTAGGTTGATTCCATGTCTTTGCTATTGTGAACACATACACATACATGACTCTTTATGGTAGAATAATTTATATTCCTTCGTGTATATTTCCAGTAATGAGATTGCTGGGTCAAATGGCAGTTCAGTTTTAAGTTCTTTGAGAAATCTCCAAACCACTTTCAACATACATTCTCAGCAGCATGTATGAGCTAACATACATTCTCAGCAGCAGTGTGTAAGCATTCCTTTTTTCTCCACGATGCTTCCAGCATCTGTTATTTTTTGAGTCATTCTGACTGATATGAGATGGTATCTCACTGTGGTTTTCACTTGCATTTCTCTAATGAATAGTGATATTGGGCATTTTTTTCATGTGCTTCTTGGCTACATGTATGTCTTCTTTTGAGACGTGTCTGTTCATGTCCTTTGCCCATTTAAAAAAAATTTTTTTTCTCTTTAAGTTCCTTATAAGCTCTGGATATTAGACTTTTGTCAGATGCATAGTTTGCAAACATTTTCTCCCATACTGTAGGCTGTTTATTTACTGTCTTGATGGTTTCTTTGGCTGTGCAGAAGCTCTTTAGTTTAATTAAGTTCCACTTGTCTATTTCTGTTTTTGTTTCCATTACTTTTGACAACTTTATCATGAAATCTTCACCCATTTGTATGTACAGAATGGTATTTGCTGGATTTTCTCCCAAGGTTTTTATAGTTTTAGGTTTTACTTTTAAATCTTTAATTTACTTCGAGTTGACTTTTGCATATGGTGAAAGGAAAGGGTCCAGTTTCAATCTTCCTAATACGGCTAGCCAGTTAGCCCAGCACCATTTATTGAATAGTGAGTGCTTATTTTTGTTGACTTTGTTGAAGATAAGATGGTTGTAGGTGTGCGGCATTATTTCTGGGTTCTCTGGTCTGTTCCATTGGTCTATGTATCTGTGTTTGTAACAGTACCATGCTATTTTGGTTACTGTAACCTTGTAGTATAGCTTGAAGTTGGATAATGTGATGTCCTCAGCTTTGTTCTTTTTGCTTAGGATTGCTTTGGCTATTTGTGCTCTTTTTTGGTAACATATGAATTTTAGAATAGTTGTTTCTAGTTCTGTGAAAAATGTCATGGGTAGTTTAATAGGAATAGCATTGAATCTGTAAGTTACTTTGGGTCATATAACCATTTGGATAATACGGATTCTTCCTATTCATGAACATGGAATGTTTTTTCCATTTTTTGTGTGTGTTGTCTCTGATTTCCTTCAGCAGTGTTTTGTAATGCTTGCTTGTTGTAGAGGTCTTTCATCTCTCTGTCTAGCTGCTTTCCTAGGTATTGTGTGTGTGTGTGTGGCTATTGTGAATGTAATTGCACTGTTGATTTGTCTCTCAGCTTGGACATTGTTGCCATATTCTGTGCCATGCCAGATGGAGTACTTAACAGAGCAGTGGATGTTGTAATGAACATATGTCTGCTTTTAAGATTCCAATAAAATATTTTAGGATTATAGCTGTGGACAGCTTTCAGTTTTTCAAGGATGAGGTTGGATTCTATACCCGGGACATAATTAGGCTGAGCATTCTCAGGAAAGTTAAGATCACTACAAGCCTCTCCACTCTACCCAAACACTGAGTTTCTGTTGTGAGGGATGACCCAGCAGGTCTGGGATAGCTGTTGAGAGTTTTGATACTATGGTTGGGCCTAAGAGGGAGGCTGCATGGGAGAAGCCAAACTACCAGCTGGGGCTGTGGGACAGTGGTGGAACCAAGGACAAATGTAGTCCCCTGTTTTAACAATGACCATTGTTGTGTTTTTTTTCCTCTTCTAGGGTCTTTCTACATCCCATATCTTAGTTACTCATAAAACTGTGCTGCCACAGGCCCATTTTTCGGTGAGAAAGCTAGAAAAGTTGGAGGACTTGTTCTAAGTCACGCTGTTACCAGCCTAGAGGGGCATCTCAGTGTTTTGAGCAGCTTCTCGTTTTGTGAGCTTTGTGGATGAGTGGTAAGAAAGATGGTCATTTGGGCCGGGCACGGTGACTCAGGCTTGTAATACTAGCACTTTGGGAGGCTGAGGCAGGCAGATCACCTGAGGTCAGGAGTTCAAGACCAGCCTGGCCAACATGGAAAAACCCCATCTCTACTAAAGATACAAAAATTGGCTGGACGTGGTGGTGCATGCCTGTAGTCCCAGCTACTCTGGAGGCTGAGGCAGGAGAATTGCTTAAACCTGGGAGGTGGAGGTTGCATTGAGCCGAGATCATGCCACTGAACTCCAGCCTGGGAGTCAGAGCGAGACTCCATCTCCAAAACAACAAAAAAAAGAGAAAGATTGGTCATTTATGGGTGGGTGGGTGTATTCGAAGGAAATGTTCAGTTGTGAGGATATCAGAAGAAGGAAGAAAAATCATAACTGGGAAAGAAAGATACTTTTTTGTGAGACGTAGCTTGAGTAATTTATTTTTGATATTTGATTTTTTGAAATATTTTTTGAGTACTTAACATATGTAGAGATTAGAAACTTCTGGTAATTAAGAGGGGGCAAGATAGCTAGAGTATCATTTAGTATAGGATTATAGGGAGGTATTTGAAGTTTTCTTCTTCTTTCCTTTTCTTTAAATAGTAAAACTGAACAGAGAGTAGAGAGGTTTTCTGTATACCTCCTGCCCTTCCTCCCTAGGTGGACTCTCCTACTAACAACATCCCATATTAGAGTGGTAATTTGTTATAACTGATAAACTTACACTGACATATCATTATCACCCAACGTCCATTGTTTACTTCAGGACTCACTCTTGGTACTATATATTCTATGTGTTTGGACAAGTGAATCCTAGTACATACAGAATAGTGTGACTGCCCCAAGGTTCTCTGTGCTTTCTATTCATCATTCCTTCTCTGACCCCATACTCCTGCTGTAACCTCTGGAAACCACTGATATTTCTACTTTCTTCATCATTTTGCCTTCACTGAAAGAGTTTTAAGGCATATTGATTAGGAGAAGTTAGAGGTTAAAGTAAAAGAAGGAGAGGTAAGAGGTCACCAGTCATTAAAAATACATTGAAGGCAAGAAAAGTGTTGGGAGAAGGGATCATAAAAAACATGAGTACTTCAAAGGGAAATAGGGATGAGAGCTACTGGGTAATATCAGGAAATTTTTAAAAAGAAGGTGTTTATTGGAATTGGAGATGGAAGTCATGGGAAGCAGGAGTTCTAGGACACCAGAGGTCAAAGTGTCCAGTATGATAAGAAGGAATACAGAAGGCTTGAAAAGGAATAAGAATTCATTAGAGGAGTTGAGTGGCATGCAGAATGGACACAGAAAATTGCCAGAACTGGCCAACTCGAAAATGGGGCTTTTGCCGACAGTTTGGTGCCTACTTAAACAGAATGTATCACTTGGTTGTCAGACATTATTCTATAGTGGCAGGATTCTATGACTTGCCCTTCCTTTCCCAGATTTCATGATTTTCTCAAGTGACCCTTATGGGGCATCCAAATGTGGCAACATAATAATTCATGGACACCAGAATTATCCAAGAGGAACTGGAGAGACAACAGCATTGGAGGGCCATCCAAGACCCCCAGTAGTCCTTTCTGTACTTGGTCTCCATGTGCCATCTTCACTTCCTTAGAAAGGGTCGTGTGGCTGGGTGTGGTGGCTCACGCCTGTAATCCCAGCACTTTGGGAGGCCGAGGTGGGCAGATCATGAGGTCAAGAGATCGAGACCATCCTGGCCAACTTGGTGAAACCCCATCTTTACTAAAAATACAAAAATTAGCTGGGTGTGGTGGCGCACACCTGTAGTTCCAACTACTTGGGAGGCTGAGGCAGGAGAATCGCTTGAACCCAGGAGGCGGAGGTTGCAGTGAGCCGAGATCACACCACTGTACTCCAGCCTGGGCGACAGAGCTAGACTCCTTCTCAAAAAAAAAAAAAAAAAAAAAAAAAGAAAGGGTCATGTTGATCACTTTTGGATCTTTTTTGATGACCAGTAGAGTGCTATAGACTGGCTAAAAGAAAGAACTGAAGGAACTGTGACTCATTTACTTTCTATAGAACACCAGAGAGAAAGCCAAGGAATGCAAAGAATGCATATCCAGTGTCAAGGAGGAATGGGGAATGAGCTGAGTTCCTAAGGAGGCCCAGCCAGGCCATCCCAGAAACAGGAAGAATTAAAAGCCTCATCATCTAGCAGAAATCCTACAGTATTTATTTCACTAATTTGTTTTAGGTCCTCTCTTTGGATAATACAGAAGAATAACTCTACAATGGCCTCATTTATACTGCCAGAGGGCCCATAATGGTGATTCTCCAAAGAGTATATGGCCTGCATTCTCATTCACAATTGGGACGCACCCCTGTACTTATCTCTAGTCCTCCTTCAGTTCATTTCCAGACCCATGCTAGTGCAAGACTTAAAAGTGCTCCAGCCAGAAGAGTCTTCTACCACTCGTTCAAATTCATTCAACAAATAAATATTATCAAGTATAAAATTCCAAATTGGCATCAATAATATAAAACTGTCAATGCAAACCCCATTTTTCAAATTGACTATTTTTAGGAGCTGAATAAAGATCAAAATGATAAGCCCAATGTGTATAGGTATCTGTGGTCCATTGCAAAAATGAACTATTTCCCAATGGCTGCTTTAGAAAGTTTCTATTTGAAAGGCAGTAAATAAGAGGCATCATGATTGCCTAGGGCAGTATTTTTACCCTTGGAGTCAAGGATGGTCAGGGTTTCTATGTTTATCATTTGTATTCTTTTATGCAAATGGGGAATTAGGTCTAGATACCAAGAACTAGACCAGGATCTTATTGGGGTCGGAAATTAGGAGTAAAGCCAGTCCACAGGAATATCATGAACTGAAAAACAAAGAGGCAGAAAACATTGTTCTGGATGATAAGTTCCAGTTATTAGGTAAAATATTCTCGTGAAAAGTTGAGTAATTTATTTAGGTCCATCAGGGTGCCTATGGTCGACAGAGTCCTCAACTGTGTTATTTCCGCTGCTTGGGTTCTAAACCACCTTTTGACCTATTATTTGGCTTTCTGAAGAGGGTGATTGCAAAATGGATCTTATTATGCAGACCAGGTGTGCTGCTTATTCAGAACTCAGCAGTTACTTTGGCTCTAAATCAGCCTCCTGAGAAGTCAGTATTGGTAAGTCAGTCATTTCATTAGGGCTTGGTCACTGACTGGTATATTATCAACCATGTTTTTTTCAGGCATGCTGAGGTTGAAGCAAATGGGAGAGAGATGACTTTTAACTTCTGTGCTTCCACCTCCTCATTCTCTCAAGTGGCCGAATGTCTAACCTCAGTCAATCGTTGTGCCTTGAGGCTTGTTTCTCTAACTATATCCATACATATGTGGTGAATAAATATATCTATCATTCTTGGGTGCAAGTGCCCTGACTCCTGCTGCTTCTCTGCAGTGCCTCTAATTGGTTAAGAAGGTTGTGGCTTGGCTTTCCAGGCCCCTGGCAGGTGACATTGTCAGTCCTGGCTGCCAGGAGAGGAAACATCCAGAAAATGCTATTGCACAAACCAGGTGGTGGTTATGGTAGATGAGACAGATTAATAATATTGCCTCTTCTTGCAGGAAATGGGATTGGGTGATGAGGAGGGAGATAGGCAAGGGAAGCTCAGGGAAGGGAGGAAGTGGGTCTGGGCTGCAGTGAGAATGAAGGAGAATGAAGAGGATCCACTGAAAAGCTGAGCAGAGGAGAAATACAAAGGAAGTTGACCAGATTGCCAGCACTATGTAGAATAAGGCACACTGTGGGAACTTGATAATTATTCGCAGACTTGAAAGAAGTGTAAAGGGTTAGCCAAAAGAAAAAAAAAGTTGAATAGATGATGGGTGGCATCTTTGAAGCTTGAAGTTTGCACTGAGATCCCACTTTCTGTTTTTCTCAACTCTCAGAGGATCAACCCTGGAATCTTTTGTGTAGCAAGCCTGGTCAGCTCCTAATCCTTCTCCTTATGTCCCTGGGAGACCCAGAGCCCCTGTTTCTTGGTGGCCCTGATGTACCTGAGTTCTCTTCTTTCTTCTACAATATTTCCTCTTCCAACTCTTTCCTAGTCTTCCCTGACTGGAAAGAGTTAAGGCCAGTGAGGGCACACAACCTAGAGAGGCAGAGAGGCTGGCAATGGACAAGCACACGCTCCCATTTCCAGGACTGAGCCACAGCCTTTGTTCAGTGTCTCTTCCTGAGTCCTACATCCCTTTCCTGGCCCCTGTGTAAGATCCCCACGTGCTAGGCTCTCCAAGCCCTCCCTAGGGCACTGATTTGTGAATCCCAGAGAGCTCAGTGGGGAGCAGAAACGCAGGGGGACCATGCTGCCACAGGAGGAGCTGATGCAGGGAAGCAGTGAGCATAGACTGTGGGAGTGAGCTCTGGTTGGGAGGTTTCTCCAAGCCCTGTGAAGAGATTGGCCTGGGATGCACAGAGATGGCTTTCCTTGTGAGCCGGTGAGTCTTCCTCTGAGGTCTTTTTTGTTCTTTCTCTTTTCTCTGCTCAGTTCTTCAGCCTGCCTCTGTTTCTTCTTTCTCTCCTTCTCCCTTCCCTTCCATCTGACTTCTACCCTCCCTCCCTGATGCCACAGTCACTTCTTACTTCAGTTCTGCAAAGCTAAAGAATGAGGATACTGGCTGGGCACAGTGGCTCACGCCTGTAATCCCAGCTCTTTGGGAGGCCAAGGCAGGTGGATCATGAGGTCAGAAGTTCGAGACCAGCCTGGCCAACATGGTGAAACCCCGTCTCTACTAAAAATACATAAATTAGCTGGGCATGGTGGTAGGCTCCTGTAATCCCAGCTACTCAGGAGGCTGAGGCAGGAGAATCGCTTGAAACCAGAAGGCAGAGGTTGCAGTGAGCCAAGATCGTGCCACTGCACTCTAGCCTGGGCAACAAGAGTAAAATCCTGTCAAAAAAAAAGAAAGAAAGAATGAGGATACTTCTGGTAGCAGATACCATCAGGAGCTGGGGTGCACTATAGTGAGTGGGTCCCATGGGATTAGGGAAGTTGAGGAAGGGAGTGTCAGGGAGAAAGGTTGGTAGGAGGAAATATTAGGGACAGAGCAGTGGGATTTCAAGAAGCAGGTCAAGTTTTGCTCAGGGGCAATGGCAGGTGTGAGTAAGGGAGATGTGAGGTTCAGGAAGGTAGAATACAGTGGGGGAAGACTCAATATGGGGATCACTGATGGACTCTCCCTAGCTTTTGAGTGGTGTTTGTCTTGAAAACCAATGACTGTGCTTATATTGCCCAGGATTAATGTAGTTCAAGGTCCCTTGGTAGCTATCTATGGTGGAGAAAGAGCATTTGCTGCAATCTTCCTTCTGGTTCTTTGTGAGAGTATCAGCTATAAGAAGCATATAGTCCTTGGGACAAATAAGCACAGAATAGTGGATCTGGAACTCAATCCAGAGCTCATTTGATTTAGCCTTTATGTTTATTGATGATGAAATTGAAAACCAAAAAGATGATGCAAAGAGTTTGCTCTAGGTCCTGTAAAGTTTTAGTAACGGAGTAGAGATCACAACCCATGTCTTCAATCTTTACCAAGGTGTATTAGTCTGTTTTCACACTGCTGATAAAGACTTACCCAAGGCTGGGCAATTTACAAAACAAAGAGGTTTATTGGACTTACAGTTCCACATGACTGGGGAGGCCTCACAATCATGGTGGAAGGCAAGGAGGAGCAAATCACATCTTACATGGATAGTAGCAGGAAAAATGAGAGCTTGTGTAGGGCAGCTCCCATTTCTAAAACCATCAGATCATGTGAGACCCATTCACTATCACAAGAACAGCACAGGAAACATCCACCCCCATAATTCAATCATCTCTCACCAGGTCCCTCCCACAACACATGGGAATTATGGGAGCTACAAGATGAGATTTGGGTGGGGACATAGAGCCAAACCATATAACCAGGGATTTTCCATTCAATACTTTCCCCTGTCTATTTTTTTTTTTTTAATTACTGATTGGTGGCTCTAAGTCTTGCTCCAGAAAGACTAATGTGCTGGGTTACATAAATGTACAGAAAATAAGGATGAGAGAGACTGGACAAAGAAAAAGGTAGAATAGAACAACAACAACAACAGCAAGTGAGACCAGAAACTAGATATCTCAAAAATATATCGTGAGGAATTGCACATTTCCTGGAGATGAGTTACAAATTCAGGTGGAAACTTGCTAGCTGTCATGTTAAGAGGAAAAGTGATTACTTAATTTCTTAAAAAATTAAACATACACTTCCCATGTGATGCAGCCATTTCACATCTATGTATTTACCCCAGAGAAATGAAAGCATACAAAGACTTTGTACACAAATGTTCATAGAACCTTCATTCTATGAACCAAAAACTGGAAACAACCTGAACTTCCTTTAGCAGGTGAATGAATAAAAAATTGTGAAAACAACCCAAATTTCCTTCAGCAGGTGAATGGATGAACAAATTATGTCATATCTATACAATGGAGTATCACTCAGAAATGAAAAGGAATGGCTGCTGTACACACCACAACATGGCCAAATCTCCAAATATAAGTCAGACTAAAAAGAGTACATATTTTATAATTTCATTTATATAAAACTCTGAAAAAAGAAAAATATAGTGTTGGGAAGCAGATCAGAGGTTGCTTGGGAATGAGGAGTGCAGGGAGGGGTGAAAGAGAGAGATTACAATGGAGTGTGAGGGAGCACGGGGGCTGGATATGTTCATTTCGTGATTGCGCCTATAATGTCATGGTGCATACATGGGTCAAAACTTATCAAATTGCACACTTAAACATGTACAATTTGTCATATGCCAATTGTACTTCCATAAAACTGTGAGGAAATGTTATTGCTTATATGACAGGAAAAATACAGTGATTCCTATCACTGAGATATGAGAAAAATGATCCCTCTGAGAGTTTCATAATGTTGCTTCTTGTAATCTTTCTCAATGTAAACCAATGGCTTAATGCCAAAACACTCTTTAGCAAGACCAGTTCTAGGAAAGATGAGTTGATGGAGATATGTAGGAAGTGGAAATATTTCAGCATTTTAAATGTGTAGCTCTGTGCTCATCTGCTTTAGCTTGGGGATAAGATTTAGATTTTAAATTATCAGAGGAAAAGCTGTTTTGACAATCCTTTAGGCAACCCTTCTTAAATGCTGTTCCTCGCTATTGCAGTTTTGTTCAATTGAAGAGCAGTAGTTGTGAGGTTTTCCACATTGATAAAATGAGTTTGAGGAAGGCCACACAACCCCTTTTGGGGGGTGGGGACAGGGAGTAACACCTTTGTCTTTTCGCTTTACATTTTGAGTGTTTTCTTACTTTGCAAACTGTTCTCTGATAGTTTCATGAGAATCAGTGCTTTCTTAACAGGACAGCAAGTGCTCTCTGGACAGAATCACCACCCTGTATGTACTTGATATTCTCCACAGTGCCAAAGAGCAATAGGCACATAGAAAGTTTGCAATAAATACTGTTGCATTTGAATAAAGTGTTGGAATGATATAAAGTATGTAGATTGCACTTTTAATTATTAATAAATACTTGCCTCTTGGAGATGGCTGTTTTTGATTCACCCTCTCAGCTTATTCCACTTATTTGTTCTGCAGTTCACTGACTCTCCTGCATATCATAGCCCTTATATTTGCTCTTCCGTGTCTTGGTAGTTTTTGGCTCATATCTGTGCTGGGTAGCAGTTTCTGTTAACAGTGATGTATAGAGCCTCTTCTTCCACCTTCCTCTGGGTCTCTTGTGGGTTCCAATGCCACTGATATTTCAAGAATACCCTTCTCTTCCCAGCAAAGTCACCCCATGTGAGCCAAACATTAGCCTTTGCGCTGACCTGTCTGACTTGCTAACAAAAACATCTATCAAGATACTATTTTGTGCCAGATATTAAGCTTGATTGTTTGCAAGTCTACAAATCCTCACAAAAACCCAATGAATTAGACTCTGTTGTTACCGCAACTTTATAGATAAGAAAATTAAGGCTCACATAAAAACAAAACAGAACAAAACAAAAAACAAACAGATTATGTCCTTTGCAGCAACATGGATGGAACTGGAGGTCATTATTCTAAGCAAACTAACACAGGAACAGAAAACCAAATACCATATATTCTCACTTAAAAGTGGGACCTAACACTGAGTACACATGAACACAAAGAAAGGAACAACAGATACCAGGACATAATTGAGGGTGGAGGATAGAAGAAGGGTGAGGATCAATAAACTGCTTATCAGGTACTATGCTTATTACCTGGGTGACTAAATAATCACTGTGAGGTGAAATTTACCTATATAACAAACCTGCACATGTACCCTTGAATCTAAAATAAAATTTAAAAAAATTAAGGCTCAGAGAGATTATATCATTCACCTGTGATCACTTAGCTAACTAGCTGGAAAAAATAAGACTTGACTTTAAGTCTGTCTGACATCAGAATCTGTTCTCTTAACCTCTGCGGCATATGAATTTCCATAAGAACTTACCTTCATTGAAACTTTTGTGGCCACTCCTTACTTCTTGAGGAATCTGTCTTTAGCTGGTAGTAGATTTAATTAGGTATAATTATGTTTGCTAAGGTACTAACCAGTAGTACCACCCAAGAAACAAATGCCTTACCTAGGACGTACAAATGTCAAATGACTTTAAGGATCATTGTTGTGGCTGAAAATTTTATTACCTTGCTAGTCTGATAAGGATAATATTTTGTAACTTTATCCCTGGTTGTCAACTTGCTCTGCTTCTGAAATTGATCCTCCATCCTGGGTTTCTTGTTTCTTGCAACAGAAAGCGGAATAGAATATGTATGTGTTGTGAGGGTCTGAGGAGCGCATTTGACTACGGTAGCTTTTCAAAGATAAGTTTGTCTTTCTGACAGGCTGGCCCTCCCCTAATGTGAAGAAAGACCTTAAGGGAGACTCTTTGATCCTTAGGTATTTGGGACTGACTCAGAGCACTGCACAGAAGTCACTATCGCCCCCTTTTCAAATCTCCATAGGCACCGTTTTCTGGATGGTTCTCTTTAGGGCAGCTTTGACCTCTGTGTTCCGCAGGCTGTAGATGATGGGGTTGAGGATGGGGGTGACCACAGCATAGAAGAGGGACACCAGAGGGTCAGTGGCCGGATCGTAGCTGGCCTTAGGGCGAATATAGATAAAGAGTGCGGTGCCATAGAAGAGGGAGACCACGATCAGGTGGGAGGAGCAGGTGGAGAAGGCCTTGCGGCGGCCCGCAACAGATGGGATCCGGAAGATGGTAACGAGGATACGCCCGTAGGAGCCCAGGATGAGGCCAAAGGGGCAGAGGATGAGGAGGGCTGTTGCCAGGATAATCTGCAGTTCATTAAGCGAGGTGTCTCCACATACCAGCTGCAGGACAGGCTGGATCTCACAGAAGAACTGCGGGATGGTATTGGGGCCGCAGAAGGGCAAAGAGAAGATGAAAGGGGTGTGGCCCAGCCCCACCAGCACCCCACAGGCCCACGCCGACCCAGCTAGCTGTAGACACACCCGGTGGCTCAGCAGCAGTGGGTAGCGGAGGGGTTCACAGATGGCTGCATAGCGGTCATAGGCCATGGCTGCCAGGAGGCAGCACTCCGTGGCGCCAAAGAAGAGGAAGAAGAACATCTGGAGAGCACATCCAGAGCGAGAGATGTGGCGCCGGCCAGTAAGGAGGTGGTGAAGTAGCAGGGGGACCGTGACAGACGTATAGCCAATCTCCAAGGCCGAGAGGGTGCGCAGGAAGAAGTACATAGGGGACTGGAGGGCAGCATCAGTGGAGACCAGCACCACAATGAGGAAATTGCCTGCCACGGTCAGCAGGTAGATAGTGAGAAAGACAGAGAAGAGCAAGCCCTGGAGGTCGGCCAGGTGGGAGAAGCCGAGAAGAAGAAACTCAGTCACCATGGAGGTGTTTGCACTCATCCTGCCTGCATACCTTTGACTGGAAGACAAAAGAAATGGCAAGGAAAAATCACAACTATGGAATCGTGAAATGGGCAAAGATGACCTCTCTCTGCATCTGATCGCAGCACTAGATCTCCCTTTCTATTAGAATATCATGGACTTTGAAATTAGGCAGCCTTGCCTGGAGTCCATATTCCACCCTTGCTCACTCTTGGGATCCTGGATGAGTATTTGTCTCTCTGAGCCTGAATCCCTGACTTCATCTCTTCCTGATAGTGCCTATCATTCTAAAGAACATGTTAAACTGTCTTTCCAGTTTTACCTGGGCTGAAGATTAAGTCAGTCTAGCTCCCTTTTCACTCTTTTCTGATTTTCCAATTCTTCCTGCAGGGCTGGAGACAGAATTTTCCCTCATAGCAGATCTTTTTCTCCATCAACTTGTCTCCTGTCTGATAAGAGGTGACCTCTCTTATCACCTCTTGCCCTCTAGTTTTCTTTTTTCCAGCTCTTTCTTTAGTTACCAGATTCACTTAGTCTTTCTTCTTTTTCTGTCATTTTACCATAAATTTCACAGTGTTCAAGGAGGAGAAAAAAAATGAGAAAGATCCTCTCTTTTTAAGCTCCTATAGCATTAAACAGTTCAACTATTTAGAGGGGTGAGCATTTCTCTAGTTTTAAAACATGCTCAGGCAAAAGATGACAAGAACTTCCTTAATTGCTTATTTCTGCATCTTACAGACTTTCAAACTTAGTCCTCTTACATTGTAAACATGAAAATCCCCAAACTACACACATAAACTCCACAAATTCACACACTGTCAAATTATATTTCAAAATACAGGCACAGAAGAATAGCCTAATATTCCCAGATGCCAGATTTATCTAAAGTTGCAAATCATGTATTCTATTGGCATTATTACAGATAACAGTAAAAGTCTAAATACACTGAACATAAAACTATAAACACCCAAAGATACACTTGAATATATACACAAATTCAATATTCCAGCCATATTCAAGGTTGTGTATTAGAAATACAAGTCCACACACTGATATCCTTTTGCAGTTGAAGAGCCCTTGGTTCATTCTCCTCTGGGGGCTCTTTCAGTGTTTTCCAGAAGATATTATCTCAAAGGTGTCTTTCTATTTTCTATTTGGAGAAATAACCAGTGAAGGCAGATGGCATTTGTGACTTGCTTATCTTCTTTTTTATCTACATAGTGGATCCCTCTTGAGGAAGCCTCTCTTAGGTTTGTTGTCTCTCTTTAAGCTCTCTGAGGATCTGAGTCTCCAAGCATTCTTGGCTTTCCAATGGGGAGAATGCTTCACAAAACCAATTAATCTGTTATTTTGAATCTGTTTCTTAGATTGCAAGAAATACAGAATGACCTGTTAAGAACATTTCAAAGAATATATCCAGAGCTATTGGTTTCTCTTAGTTCTCCCATATCTCTGGTTCAACCATTTTAATTTTCTTCTTTTTTCTCATGATTTTTTCCCATCACTGTAGATGTTCTAGTACATCTACAAAAAGTAATAATGCAATTTTACCCTTCTTATGTATATTGATATAATCCAGTAATCAATTTATTTGATAACTATTTATAGGGTCCCTTGCAGGTTTTATTGATTCTACAGGTAACTAATAATATAAAAGAGAAATAAACATGTTTTGACCTAATTGAGGTGCTAAATGTCATTTTCTTATACAATTGTCACTAATTTTTCTTGCTTTGATTTCTTTTTCATTTATTATACAAATCTTTCTTTGCATTTTTATCATTGGTATCTATTATTTGATTTGTTTCTTCTGTGTTTTTATACATTTTCATAGATGTGATAAAAGCTGTGTGTCAAATAGAATGTTTTCAAGACATACCAACCATTATAACAAGCCCCAACTCCAACGGGTTTAAGTAATAAATTTACTTATTAATTTATATAACTAGAAGTTCAGGGTTTACATAAACTGGATTTCGTACTTAGTTTTCTTCTGACTCCTTTATATTTTATCATTTCATTTATTTATTAGATTTGGCTGAAAGTAATGGAAATGCCAATGGCTCAAAGAGAATGAAAATTTATCTCTCACTTAAATGTCTAAAGATTTGTAGTTCAGGGAAATATGGCTGCTCTGATCCAGAATTCCTCAGGAATCTGTTTTCTCTCAGCTCATCAGTCATCTACTCCCAGAGTGTAGCCCTGTTATGGCTGAAGATGATGCCATTAATGTTACAGGGAACAGAATGGAGTAGAATAATTTGGATTGCTATTTGTCCACTCTTAGTGTAACCTATGTAGTATTATTGCTAAAAATGTTTAATTGGAGTATAAGAAAACAGTCAGACAAATCCATATTGTGGCATATTCTATAGACAACTGACACAAACTCTTAAAAAATATCCATGTCTTTAAAGACAAAGCAAAGATGGGAGATGACATCGTTCCAGATTGAAGAAGACCAAAAGCCATGGCAATAAAATGTCATTCATGATTTTTGACTGGATCCTACGTCATCAACAAAACAAAATAAAAACAACTATAAAAAAGATTTGGAACAAGTGGGAAAGTTGAATATGGGTTTTATATTATTGGTTCAATGTTAATTCCCTTGGGTGTAATAATAGTATTGTGGTTATGCTGGAGAATATTCTTGTCATTAGAAAGATGCAGAATGGCTGCATAGTATTCCATGGTGTGTATGTGCCACATTTTCTTAATCCAGTCTATCATTGTTGGACATTTGTGTTGGTTCCAAGTCTTTGCTATTGTGAATAGTGCCACAATAAACATACATGTGCATGTGTCTTTATAGCAGCATGATTTATAATCCTTTGGGTATATACCCAGTAATGGGATTGCTGGGTCAAATGGTATTTCTAGTTCTAGATCCCTGAGGAATCGCCACACTGACTTCCACAATGGTTGAACTAGTTTACAGTCCCACCAACAGCGTAAAAGTGTTCCTATTTCTCCACATCCTCTCCAGCACCTGTCGTTTCCTGACTTTTTAATGATCGGCATTCTAGCTGGTGTGAGATGGTATCTCATTGTGCTGGCGCTTTTCGAAAGCAGCCGCTGCGGCCGCCCAACGCCAAGAACGCTTCGCGAGCAGCGCCATCTTGAGCGAGGAAAGAGGAACCGAGAGAAGAGGATTGCGGGCCACTGGCCGACTGAATTCCGTATTTTATCTTTTCTTATTGCATTTTCAGAACTGAAGATACAGCTGACAGAGCACTGAACTAGGCCAGGGTTTTAATGCTGGCTCTATGACTAACCTATTCTATAACTTTGTACAATTCACTTCATTTTAATGAGACTCATATTTCTCATCTTTAAAATGCAGACACAGCTGATTCTTATTATTCACTGCAGTTGCATTCTATAAAGTTGCCTTGAACCCTGTAGGAGCAAATATTAAATAATTCCTTGCTTTAGGGGAGATGCAGGGTTAGATTCCTATGAGTTTTTGGTCACATTTTTGTCACCTGATCAATAAATAACCTTATTGTAAGTGTGTTTCTGTTTAAACACATCTTATATAATATATATCGTTGATCATTAACGTTGAACCCACAGCCAACAGCCCTATAACACATGCCTGAACAGAGCTTATCTAGCAAATGCATTTTCTCCGTAAGATCCATTGCAACCTTTTTGTGCTCAGGAGCATGGGACAGCACTTCAGCGCTACATTTGGGGCTATTTTGAATTATGAAATCACCAAAAAACAAACAAAAAATGTGAAAAATATGGCATTCAGCAAATCAGGAAATCATGAAAAGGACACTTGTTTACAGTATAATAGCTGAAACAAGAGGACAGAGCGTTTCCTTGCTCAGCATCAGGTGGGGATGCATACAGTGTGTCTCAAACTTTTTGTCACTGTGTTCATGCACTTGTCCATGAACGACTGCGAAGGTGCTGTGAGTATTGAGCTAGGGGTTAAAAATAGATGTTAGGGAGCAGGTGACTTTGCAAATACTGAATCCACAAATAATGAAGGTCAACTCTATTGCTAGTCATGTCTACTGGTGGAATGTTTGGAACTTTCTTTTCAACCGGACATTGTGTTAATATATTTTTAGAAGGCCAGGGATTATGAATCAAGTGACCATTTTTATTTTTTCATTCATGCATTCATGCATTGCTACTTATTCACTAATCATTTATGACACAGCTAAAATATTCTTGGGATACAAAGATGAATAGGATACACCATCTGCCCTGGATAATATTTACTTCTAATTCGTAGTCTAGTGAAGAAGAAATCTAAATGGTAAGACTATGTAAATCTCTAACAGAAACCACAAAGAGCTATAATTTGTTTTTGTAAAATCCTGCTGGGTTGAATACTATCTCTTTTGTATTAAAATATATTGTTAATCCTCAAGAAGTTTTCAAAGATAAGAGATTGAACAATATTTTGGGTTAGGTCCATGATGTACTGTTATTAAAGTTTCTATGGATTCAGATTGCCTTGGATGCCTAGGCTGGAGTCTAAGGAACAAATAATCAGAAAACATCACTGAGCTCGAGCTTATGAAATATTTTAGTAACATGGGAGACTCATGGAAATGTGTGGTTTCTTTTCCAACTGGAATTACTGATACAAAATAGGATATATATGTGACCAAAGCCAAACAACATAAATGGTTGTCAAACTTGAGCTTGAAGTTAGCCCCCGTGAAGCATCCCATAGTCACTTCTGAGAGTTTGCAAGATGTGTTCAGGAATGTCTCCTCTGGTCCTTCCTCTCTTGTGTCTTTTCTGTGCCTTCAAGCTGCTGCTCTGTGAGAGCTGACTGACTCTTTTTATTTTGTCATCCTTTGCAGTGGTTGACATTGCTTTCTCCACCCTGGCTGTGGGAACAGCAACCACTGTCCCCTGTACCTGCTTTTTCTAAGCAAGGCCACAGGCCCTCTTAGAATTCTCCTAGTACAACATATATCAAGTTGTAGCTTATAGAATAATTTACTGTAGTTCTAACTTAGTGGAAAGTAAATGTAGTGCAGAGAATTATATGCTGTTATACTGATCCACACACACTTGAATTCCACTAGGTAATTTATGTGGCCAAGGGTATATTTCATTTCATTTGGAACTACTTATAATCTTTTCACGTCTTGCAGTTTAGGCCAAATTGACCCCAGGACACAAGGGAAGGTAGAAATGTATTTTTCATGCTAATATATCACCTACTTTTGGAGACTTCATTTATACCCCAGGATTAACCTCTCACCAGGGTGATTAACAATACAAACATCTACTCCCCACAGATCCTTGTCTTTATCCATGGGACTGTGGTCTGAACTGATGACCTTAAAAAGTCCATAAAATGTATTTTGACAAAAAGTTTGCTAAAATATCTGTAAGAATTAAGATTAGTCAGACTTTCCCATCTTAAACTTGAATTATCTCTGAAGTTGTGTTTCTCTATCAAACCAAATTTAACAGTATACTAAAAGGATCTTTCACCATGATCAAGTGAGATTTAGCTCTGAGATGCAAGGATGGTTCAACACACAAATCAATAAATGTGATACATAACATTAACAGAATTAAAGATAAAACCATATGATCATATAAACAGAACATGAAACGGTGAAAGAAAAGTCTTTTTAATAAATGATGTTGGAAAACTGAATATCCACATGCAGAAGAATGAAATTGGATCCTTATGACACTCAATATATGAGAATTAACTCAAAATGGATTAATGACTTAAACATATGACTGCAAACTGTAAAACTATTAGAAGAAAATATAGGAGAAAAGTTCCATGACGTTGGTATGGGCAAGATTTCTTGTATATGATCCTCAAATCACAGACAGCAAAACCAAAAGTAAACAAATGGGATTGCATCAAATTAAAACATTTCTCCGCAGCAAAGGAAACAATAGAGTGAAAAGACAACCCACAGGTTGAGAGAAAATATTTGTAAATGATACATGTAAGTGGCTAAAATTCAAGCTATATAAGGAACTTAAACAAATCAATAACAAGGAAACAAATAACTCAATTTTAAAATGAGCTAAGCACCTGAATAGACATTTCTCAAAAGAAGACGTACAAATGACAAACAGGTACAAGAAAAAATGCTCAACATCACTAGTCATCAGGGAAATACAAATTAAATTCACAATAAGATATCACCTCACACTTGTTAGAATGCCTACTACAGAAAAGATAAGAGATAAATGTTGATGAAAATGTGGAAAAGGAGAACTCATACACTTTTGGTGGAAGCGTAAATTAGTACAGTCATTAAATACACTGTGGAGGTTTCTGAAAAATTCTGAAAAAATTAAAAATAGAACCGTTGTATGACCCAGCAATCCCTTGTCTGTGTATATATTCAAAGGAAATAAGAAGAGAGATCTACACTTTCATGTTCATTGTAGTATTATTCACAATAGCCAAGATGTGGAATAAACCTAAGCATCCCTCAGCAGATGAATGGATAGAGAAAATGTGGTATATATGCATAGTGGAATACTATTCAGCCTTAAAGAAGAAGGAAATTCTGTTGTTTGCAACAACATGGATGAATCTGGAGGACCTTATATTAACTGAAATAAGTCAGGCACAGAAGGACAAATACCTCATGGTCTCCCTTCTACATGAAATCTACAAAGTCAAACTCACAGAAACAGAGAATAGAATGGTGGTTACCAGGGGCTGGAAGAAAGGGAGAAAATTGAGAAGATATTGGTCAAAGGTTACAAAAATTACAGTTAGACAAGAGAGATAATTCAAGAGATCTATTATATGAAAGGGTGACTATAATTAATGAATTGTATATGTGAAAATTGCTAAAAGAGTAGATCTGAGTGTTCTCATCACAAAAACATGATAAGTATGTGAGGTAATGGTTCATGTAAATTAGCTTGATTTTGTCATTCCATGATGTATACATATGTCAAAACATCATGTTATACATCATAAATATATACAATTTTAATTTGTCAATTAAAAATCATAATAATGTAGGCTAACTAAAAAATGCTACATTTTTCCAAAAGTTTTCTTTTCAAGACACATATACTTACCTTTTAGCATATGCTGCTGTTTGATGAAAAAAATAAACGATTAAGAGAACCCCTCCTGCTGCCAAGAAAAAATAGGGTGGCATTTACTGTGAACTACAGATAGTAGACAACGTAGTTCAGAGAAAAAGTGTTCTCGGTTGGTCAGGGAGAAAGTGGAGCTGAAGTTAGGGTCTGAGTTTGATAAATGACACAGAAGTGCCTTCAACACACTCCTAGGGATGAGAAATAAATATATCAGCCTGATTTCTGTGGAAGCTTCAAAAAAGGGAGTAGTGGCAGACAAAGTTGTTGGGCAGTAATTTGGTCAGGAAGGATATTGAAACGCTACATAACCATTTCAACGTCATTTTGTAACATCACGCCACCTTCCTTCTCCTTAAATCAGGCTCAGCATTGGCAAGATTTTGATGATCTATATAAAACACCCCTACTAAGGGTGGTACCTATTGAAACAATTGCCTGGGATGGTAAGAGGGCGATTTGGAGGCTGTAGATTGGAGAATGAAAGTTGAGGGCAGGCTCCTGGGAGGACCACTGTTGGTAATGGGGAATTTAGGGATGTTGCAGAGAAATCAGAATTTTCTGGTGAGTTATGGAGACTAGGAATTGGGGCTTTAGATGTTTGGTGAAATGGAGAGCATTTGTCCCCAAGGGGATGGAAAGGTGGGCTCCATTTGGCTCTTTTGGTTTCTGCTCCGTTTATGGTCAAGCCAACAGTTCAGGAAACCGCCTTTGAAAAAATACAATTTCCTTAGGGGCCTGCTATGTCTTGCTCATTTCAGGCTGCTCTCCAGTAAATCTGTAATTGGTTCTCAGGGGCCTCTCCCTTTGTGGCAATTTCCTGCCCTCCCATGTGATAGAGGGAAAGGACTGCGATGAAAGGACAGAATAGCCTGAGAGCTAGAAAAGGGGATGGAGGGTGGAAGAGAAAATGGCTCAGGAGTGGAGGGTAACAAGGGTGACATTTGTAATCAATGTTCTACGTTACTTCAGGTTGAGCTCAAGCAGGGAGGGAGCTGAAGGTAGGAAATTCCAACATTCTGAAGTCTTCAGCAAATCTTAGCAGATCATCTCCTCCTCACAGTCCTGTCTTTAGAGAACAGGGTCGATATTTCGGGTACGTTTATTTTTGTAAAATTCTTTACAGCTTAGTTCACAGATTCTTTAAAAAAGTTAAATGGCTGGTTTTTATAGCTGTTTATCCTGTAATCACTAGCAACTTTCAATTAACCCAGAGAGTCAAAAAGTCTTTTATTAAAAATCATTTCAAGAAGTCCCGCAGTATTTCTCTAGAATACCAGTGCTGCTCTTTTCTCCATTGGATGTTTTTAAAAGTTGATTTCTAATCCTTCTGGGTGCATACTGACTTATTTTTTTAATTCTCTCTTCTCTTTTGGAGATGGGGAACAGTAGATATTCATGCTCCCCAAGCTTCAGTTGATATGTTACAGAGTAGGAAGAAGCGAGACACCCTCATACTAATGTTTTCATGGTGGAAAGTTTTCCTCCTGCTATCCCATGGCTTGACAAAACTGGGATATACTTAAAATTATACTGTTTTCTTTTAAAACCTTTTAAGTATATTTTAATGTTTTATTATGGAGTAATTACTGAAGAGACTTGAGGAGAATTAACAGATTAAAAAAATCAAACTGAATTAACTTTTTGGTTTTCTGCTTACAAACATAACATGTTTGTTTAGCAGACATTTCAAAATATGAGAATAAATTTTTTTCTAATACCTAAAGATGAATTAAAATGTACAGTTTTGTATATATTTTTTAAAATATTTTTTCCTGGAATATTCTTTGAATTGCTCGTTTTAATTAAGGACTCTATGCTATCTCAGAGTCTGGGTTGAATGAGGGTTATGGTTTTTACTTAGAATTGAGTGTGTGGCTGATTGTTCGTTAGACAACAAACAGGCATTTTGCACTATTCTCACTTCTCTACCAGTCAGTATGGTGAAATTCCTGTTGATTTCAAACTCTTCCTGCAGTTTTTTGAGTTTTCCAATTCCAAATTCAGCTCTATTCCTTGGAGTTTTCAACTCTAAATTCATCAACTTCCTCTATTCCCTGATTCCCCTCTGTCTTTAAGGGAATAACAGCCTCTCATATATCCTACTGTTTCTGTGTTTTTCCCATTTCTTTTCTTTTCATATCTACTTTTACAGATTTAGGGGTACAAGTGCAGTTTTGTTACATGAATATATTGTGTAGCGATTGAGTCTGGGCTTTTAGTGTAACCATCACACAGATAGTGTGCATTATACCCATTAGGTAATTTCTCATCCCTCACCCCTTCCCACCTCACCTTTCCAAGTCTCCAATGTCTATTATTCTGAATTCTGTGTTCATGTGCACACATTATTTAGCTCCCACTTATAAATGAGAATATGCAATATTTGACTTTCTGTTTCTGAGATATTTCACTTAAAATAATAGCCTCCAGCTCCAATGATACTCTTGATTTCCAGGGGAGGTAGTGGTCATGAGCTATTTATTATTAGAGGTATTCTTGCCTGATTTACATGCTCACCTCTCTCCTGGCAGGAATCCTATAGAAAGACTCCAAGCCTCAGAATGAGTTTGGACCAGATAAAATAATCTAGAGTTAAAGATGGCCCACATAGGGAGTGCCAGATTCACTCACAAGGAAATGCAGATGGGATCAAAGGGTAAGAGAATAGCTTTAGAGACGGGAGTTGGAGGGCAATAACAGAACCTGTGGAATTTTGTAGTCTATGAAGAACAGCATTCTTCTCTGATCAATTCATATGGGTTTAGGTTAAGGAAGACATGGTGTTAAACATTAAGTATTCATTGAGAATATATCTTTTTGTAAGACTTCGGTACAGTAGCACTTATAAAAATTTAAATCCTGTGCTAAATGAACTTTTAGTCTTTTGGAAAAGAGAAAGTGCATACCATAAGATAATTAATGATGAACTCAAGGCAGCATGTATTTGCACATCAGGTATCAGATGAGTGGGGCCATCCCTTCTTTCACTCTTGTTACCTTGGATGTAGCTTCCATAATACTATTTAAATTTAGGTTGAAACATGCCACTGTACTGTTTAAAAGCCTTCAGCTGTGCCTTGCTGCCTATAGAATGAAGCTCTAGTTCCTTCTTGTGACAAGCAAGGGTCCCCAGACTCTGATCCTGGCCCCTTTCTCTCCCTGTCTTCCCCCATTCTTCACCTCAATCCTAATTCTCCTTCAGAATCGAGGGGATTGTTTGAGCTACCCTTGGCTACTTACCCCCTGCTACCTCTTTCTCCTCCTCACATCCAATGTTGTTTCTTGCCTCAGTGTGTACTCATGGTTTTCCTTTTACCTAAAATGCCCTCACCTCCATTCTTTCCATTTTCCACTGCAATCACTCATCAGTTCAGCATCACTTCCTCCTAGTACTATTTCTTTCAGGTTGAATTCATTAACTGTCTTTTGGCGTATTGCAATTTTCTGTTGATATGTCCATCTGTCACACAAGAGTGTAAACTCCTTAAGAGTATGGACCAGTTTTGTTTGGCCCACTATCCTCAGAAACAGATGTAATATCTTCTATACACTAGATCCTTAGTACATGATTGGGAGAGAAATAAAGGGCTCTATTAGTCAAGGGGGATTCTTGGTAGAGATAAGTTCTTAAGCTGGGTCTTCGAGGATTTAACGTTAGCAATGAGCAGAGGTATGGAAAATGGGATTCCATTCAAAAGGCAGATTTGGTCTTAGGCAAAACTACAAAACAGTGTGCCGTGAAGGCTCCCAGCACTGTGGTCCCTGAGGCATCCAGTTTTTCACCTCTTAGGAAACTGATGTTCTAGACTATTTGTATTAAAGATAACTTACATTTTTTGTGATAATAAATATAATGTATGTTTATTAATCCCATATTCTAGAAAGTAACACTGTTAGTATTATGTATTTATATTTATTTATATGATATCTGCTTTTTTTCTCTACCTTTCTCAACTGTTTCTAATCATTCCCTGTATTCTCTCTCATTGTCTTCAGTTAATAAACACATATTGCTTTGAATAGCATATGAAAACCTTCCAGCAGGTATGACAGAGCCATTTTCAGATATTTAGAAGTGTCATGCTCAATTACAACTCTTTGCTTTTGCATATGCTTTCCTGCCAGGGATGCCCTGCCTGGTCTGGTTTCCTGTCTTTTGCCTGGCCAACTCTTTTTTTTTTTTTTTTTTTTTTTTTTTTGAGATGGAGTTTCGTTCTATTGCCCAGGCTGGGGTGCAGTGGCGCGATATCGGCTTACTGCAAGCTCCGCCTCCTGAGTTCACGCCATTCTTCTGCCTCGGCATCCCGAGTAGCTGGGACTACAGGCGCCCGCCACCACGCCCGGCTAATTTTTTTTGTATTTTTAGTAGAGACGGAGTTTCACTGTGTTAGTCAGGATGGTCTCGATCTCCTGACCTCGTGATCCACCCGCCTCAGCCTCCCAAAGTGCTGGGATTACAGGCGTGAGCCACCAAGCCCGGCCTCCTGGCCAACTCTTAATTGGCCCTCAAAACTTAGCCTACTTGCTTCTATCTTCAGAAAGCCTTCCCCGACCTTGATCCCACACCTTCTGCCCCACAACCCCAGGCTGGGTTTGGTCCTTCTCTGCTCCCATGGCACCTACTTCCTTCCCTATTACCATTTACCACATTTTCACTACCAACTCCTGAATGACTTGATGAAACTACTATTTAAGGAAGGCAATAAGTGAAGAATATATAAGAATTATCCGAGGAACAGTTGGTAAGGTATCACTGATTAGGAGATGGGGAATGAAAGGGGCGGTTGAGATAATGAGAAGAATGAGATAGTGACCATGGGGATTAGACAGAATTCTCAAACCACTCATAGAGGAATTGGTTGTGATTGAGAAAGATAGAAGAGTTTGCAGTTGTGGGCCATGTCTATATAGCACACATTTGGAGAATATTATACTGGTGCACAAGAAGGAGGCTATGGCTGACTATACAGATAAGAATGATAGAGGTGATTATGCGAAAGAGGTAGTAGATTGAATTAATGGGGTAAAGGTCTTTGAAAGACTAAAATTATGAGTTTGGATAAACTCTTCTGAGCGTTAAAGAATATGCACAATTAAGGAAGGCAGGGAAGGATGAGAGTTGAGGAAGGAATGACAACTAAGAAGGGGGATAGTTGAAGACTTGCGTGAGCGAGTCTTGTTTTAGAGACTCATTTTTGTCTTTTTTGTTTTGTTTTGTTTTAGCTCTAATAACGTTAGGCTTGGTATAGAAGATGCAGAGACATGCTAAAATTTCTCCCCCAATTATTGCCAAGCAGAAACTTGGACGATCGACATGGAAATTGTCTCCACAGGAAACGAAACTATTACTGAATTTGTCCTCCTTGGCTTCTATGACATCCCTGAACTGCATTTCTTGTTTTTTATTGTATTCACTGCTGTCTATGTCTTCATCATCATAGGGAATATGCTGATTATTGTAGCAGTGGTTAGCTCCCAGAGGCTCCACAAACCCATGTATATTTTCTTGGCGAATCTGTCCTTCCTGGATATTCTCTACACCTCCGCAGTGATGCCAAAAATGCTGGAGGGCTTCCTGCAAGAAGCAACTATCTCTGTGGCTGGTTGCTTGCTCCAGTTCTTTATCTTCGGCTCTCTAGCCACAGCTGAATGCTTACTGCTGGCTGTCATGGCATATGACCGCTACCTGGCAATTTGCTACCCACTCCACTACCCACTCCTGATGGGGCCCAGACGGTACATGGGGCTGGTGGTCACAACCTGGCTCTCTGGATTTGTGGTAGATGGACTGGTTGTGGCCCTGGTGGCCCAGCTGAGGTTCTGTGGCCCCAACCACATTGACCAGTTTTACTGTGACTTTATGCTTTTCGTGGGCCTGGCTTGCTCGGATCCCAGAGTGGCTCAGGTGACAACTCTCATTCTGTCTGTGTTCTGCCTCACTATTCCTTTTGGACTGATTCTGACATCTTATGCCAGAATTGTGGTGGCAGTGCTGAGAGTTCCTGCTGGGGCAAGCAGGAGAAGGGCTTTCTCCACATGCTCCTCCCACCTAGCTGTAGTGACCACATTCTATGGAACGCTCATGATCTTTTATGTTGCACCCTCTGCTGTCCATTCCCAGCTCCTCTCCAAGGTCTTCTCCCTGCTCTACACTGTGGTCACCCCTCTCTTCAATCCTGTGATCTATACCATGAGGAACAAGGAGGTGCATCAGGCACTTCGGAAGATTCTCTGTATCAAACAAACTGAAACACTTGATTGAAGGAGAGTAATGAAGATGTTATTTTGGACTTCGGACACCTCCATTGGGGACTCTTCCAGGATGGGTTGGAGAGGAGTAACTTTGTCTTATTCGACCATTCTCTTTGAACTCTTCTGCAGTTATACTAAAAATGAAAATGATAGGGCAACAATTTTTTAACTTTTATTTTAAGTTCAAGGGTACATGTGCAGGTTTGTTACATAGGTAAACTTGTGTCATGGGGGTTTACTGTACAGATTATTTCATCACCCAGGTATTAAGCCTAGTACTCATTAATCATTTTTCCTGATCTTCTCCCTCCTCCCAACCTCCACCCTCAAGTAGGATTCAGTGTGTTGTTCCCCTCTATGTATCCATATGTTTTCATAATTTAGCTCCCACTTATGAGTGAAGACATACGGTATTTGATTTTCTGTTCCTGTGTTAGTTTGCGAAGGATAGTAGCCTCCAATTCCATCCATGTCAAATAATCAAAATTATTTAAACTTTGATTAGTTCTTTATTAAATATGTCATAAATATTTAAAAATAATACAGCAATACCAAAATAAACCTAGAAATATTGTTTTTTATATTATTGTTGTATGACATTTAAAAATTTCTTTCTATGTGTATTTATATTTATACATACAAGTTGGATCATGGAGTTTGTAATCTGGTTTTCCACTGAACACTGTGTCACGAACAACTTTTTCTATTAACAAGCATCTATTTCTTTATTCTTCTGGGCTTCATCGTATGGCTAAACATGATTTGTTATTCTATTTTGGGAATTTTTAGTTGTATTCTATTCTTTTACTGTACATTGTTTACATCTGGATTTTCCTGTAATAAACTTTTAGCACCTAAATTGCAAGATCTAAGGATATGTGTTTTTAAAAATCTAAAGCTGAATTCCTTTTCTTTTAAACTTCTTTTCTTGTAGAACATTTCAAACATACATAAAAGAGAAGAGCACAGTGAACCCCCATGTACTCCATGTAGCCACCATCCAGCTTCAACATCAACATTTTGCTAATCTTATTTTAATTAGCTACAGCTCCTTGTTTGTTAGTTTTCATGGAAAATTTTAGGGCAAATTCCAGATGTTGTATAACTATTATGTTGTGTAAGTTATGTATGTACATATTCCACATATGTATTTAGTATAATCTGTGACTAATAAAGACATTTTAAAAAACCATGCCCACAATACCATTATGATACTTAGCACAATTATCAGTATTTCCTTTATATCATCTAATACACAAGCCATGTTCAAATTTCTCCATTGATCTTTAAGTAATTTCTTAAAATTAGGATCTAAACAAGGTTCACACAATGTATTTTGTTATTGTCTTTCCAGTCCCTTTATAACATAGCAGACCCCACTTTTTTGTCATGCCATTGACTTAAGTTGCTATGTTATTTTTATTGCATCATATCCTGAGACACATGATATTTAGTTGTCCCACTCTTAGAGATGCTATTTATATTATTGTCCAGTGAGTTGAGGTGGTATCAGTCAGATCTATCAATTACTCAGTTTCTAATTAACGTTTTCCCTAATACTTTAATCATCCATTGTGGAAAGGTGATGATTAACTTTTATTCCAAATGTTTTTATGTTCCTTTTTCAATTCCAAAATTCACCATTTTAATAAATGGCTCTCTAGTACATTATATATCAGTCAGCCAGGAATCACACTTAGCTATTAGAAACTGTCAATACAAAGTTTTAAAAGTAAAAATTGTCATGTAAGTAAAAGTTAATTTTTCTCTCAAGTAAAAGAAGTCTGGAGGTAAGTAGTACAGAGAGGATGTGGTTGGTTCCCAGGGTTATATAGACCAGAGCTCTGTTTACTTAGTGTATATGTCAGGAGAACAGCGTGGGGGAAAGTTCCCCCATGATGAAATCACTTCCCTCCAGGTCCCTCCCTTGACATGGGAGATTACAATTGAGATGAGATTTGTGTGGGGACATAAAACGAAACCATATCAGGCTCTATTCTGTGTGTCTGTGTGCATATGTAACTAAAATCAGGAGTGAGTAATTGAGAGAAGTGAATTTTCTTGGTGTGGTTTCAGTTGCAAACAACATAAGCTACCCTGGCTAATTTAAGCTGCTGTTTTTTCTTATATAATATTTGATAGCTCACACACTATCCTGTAGGTAAAGAGAGTCAGACTCTGAATTATTCTGCCAGGAATGAGATGCAGAAACACAGAGGGTCTCTTGTTGGCGTAAATATCACTGTCATCATTACTCAACCCTAGAGTACTTCTAGATCCATCACTGATGCTCCAGAAGGACCAGATTCCTCTGTTTCATGCAGAGAAGACTGAATTCCACATGCATAGTCTTGCTGATTGGTAGGACCTAATTTCCATGGTTGTTACCAGCTGTTAAGGAATCTAGGAAATGATCACAATGTAGTGGGGGTGTTCACAGATGTAAAAGCACTATAATGAATGTCTACTCTTGGCACAGTGCGAAAGGATAATGTTAGGTACTAATTTTTTTTTCTTTTGACATTTTAAAATACAAACATTTCACGCATATACTAAATACAAAAATTTCCTTTGTCCACTTTTTAATGGGGTTATTTATTTGTTTTTCTTGTTGAGTTGTTTAAGTTCCTTGTAAGTTCTGGATACCAGTCCCGTATTAGGTGCATAATTTGCAAATATGTTTTCCCATTCTGTAGGTTGTTTGTTTACTCTGTTGATTATTCCCTTCACTGTGCAGAAGCCTTTTAGTTTAATTAAGTTCTGTTTGTCTATTTTTATTTTTGTTGCATTTGCTTTTGAGGTCTTAGTCACAAATTCTTTGCCTAGGCCAATGTTCAGAAGAGTTTTTCCTAGGTTTTCTTCTAAAATTTTTATAGTTTCAGGTCTTACATTTAAAAGAAGACATACAATCAGCCTACAAAACCTACAAACATATAAAAAAAGCTCAACATTGCTAGTCATCAGAGAAGTGCAAATTAAAACCACACTGAGATATCATCTCATACCAGTAATAGTAACTATTATTAAAAAGTCAAAAACAAGAGATGTTGGTGAGAATGCAGAGAAAAGGGAATGCTTATATACTGTTGATGAGAATATAAATTAGTACAACCTCTATGGAAAACAGTATGAAGATTTCTTAAAGGGCTAAAATTAGAACTACCCTTTGATTCAGCAATCCCAATACTAGATATCTACCCAAAGGAAAATAAATCATGGTACAAACAAGACACCTGCATGTGTATGTTAATTGCAGCACTTTTCACAAGAGCAAAGTTATGAAACCATCCTAAGCATATGAAAGCATACACACACACACACACTTACATAAGCATACGTAATTAGATATTTTTTCTTTTATTTTACTTTCACTTATTTCTTCTTCAATGCTCTTCTGTTCTTAAAGGTGGATTGAAATGTCTCACTTGTATAATTTTATTACTCTCTAAAAAATTTATTTTATCACTTTTTACCAGGCAAGTCTATTGGCAATAAATTCCCTCAATTTTTGTTCCTCTGAGAAGGTTTATTTCTCATTCACTTTTGAAGGATAATTTCATGTAGTGCAGAATTCTAGATTGGTTTTTCTTCTATCAAAAATTTTAAATATTTCACTCTATTTTCTTCTAACTTTTGTAGCTTCTGCGAACTCAGATGTCATCTTTTCTTCCCTAAAGGTATGGTATTTTTTATCCTCTGGCTTCTTCATGATTTAAAAAAAATCTTTGACTTTCTGATTTTTGTTTAATTTTCCATAGTTTAAAAATGATATTCCTAGCCATAGTTTTTCTGGCATTTATGCTTCTTGGTATTCCTTGAGCCTCCTAGATTTGAAGTTTGATGTCTCATATTAATTTGGGGAAATTTTCAGTTATTGCTTCAAATATTTCTTCTGTTCCTATCTACTTTTCTACTCCTTCTGATATTCCCATTGTATGTATTACATATTTTGGAGTTTTTCCAGAATCCTTGAATATTCTTCTCTGCTTTAATAAGTCTTTGTTTTCTTCGCTTTTCAGTTTTTAAAGTTCCTATTGATATATTCCCCTGCCTAGAGGGTTTGGTGGTCGTTTTCTTCCTCTTAACTTTATTAAGGTATGACTGACACATGAAGTTGTATATATTTATGATGTTTACTGTGATGTTTTGAGATATGTATACATTGTGAAACGATTACCACAATTAAGCCAATTAACACATCCATCACCTCACATAGTTACAACCTTTTGTATGTGTGTGGTGAGAACATTTATGATCTTCTAGTTTAGAAAATTTCAAGTATATAATACAGTATTGTTAACTATAATCACCACGCTATATGCACATTATATAGGTCACATTTTTAAATCCACTTCTCTGTTTTGATGGACCTTTGGGCTAATTCTGTATCTTGGCTATTGAGAATCATGCTGCAATGAACACAAGAGTGCAGATATGTCTTTGAAATACTAATTTTTTTTTTATTTTTCCATAGGTTATTGGGGTACAAGTAGTATTTGGTTACATGAGTAAGTTCTTTAGTGGTGATTTGTGAGATTTTGGTGCACTCATCACCCAAGCAGTATACACTGCACCGTATTTGTAGTCTTTTATCCTTCACCCCCCCTCCCACTCTACACCCCAAGTCCCCTAAGTCCACTGTATCATTCTTATGTATTTGCATCCTTATAGCTTAGCTCCCACATATCAGTGAGAACATACAATGTTTGGTTTTGAAATACTGATTTTATTTCCTTTAGACATATACCCAGAAGTGGGATTACTGAATCATATGGTATTTCTACCTTTATGTTTTTTGAGGAATCTCTATATGTTCCCCATAATGGCTGTACAAATGTAAATTCCCAAAAACAATGTACAAAGGTTCTCTTTTTATATCCTCATTAATACTTGTTATTTTTTGTCTTTTTGATAAAAGCCATTCTAACAGATGTGAAGTGATATCTCGTGGTTGTAGTTTGTATTTCCTTTGATTTAATGATGTTGAACATTAAAAAATACACTTGGCC